>NC_000003.12:159160119-159463149 GCF_000001405.40 Homo sapiens | reverse complement strand
ATGAACTATATACTGTATATATAGTATGTATATACTATATATAGAGATTGACAATATTCTACAGACTTTCCCCATGTCTATATAATATTGATTGACAATATTCTATAGACTTTCCGTGTCTATATAATAAATACAATGTATATATATGTACACATATATGTCATTTTAACAGCTGAACTGTATTCCATTGAACAACTGCATGTACCATACTTACCTAATTAGTTGCTTTCTGGTAAACATTTAAGTTGGCTTTAATTTTCCCCTATCATAGACTTGACTGTAATGAACATTTCATTCTTGTGCAAATGTCTTCTCATACCTGTTAAATTATCTAAAAAAGAGGAATTTTAATAGATGGAAATGCTTGGATAAAATGGTGTTTCTCTTGGAGAAAATAATATGAACAAGAACTGAGGGGAAGAAAAGTTCCCGAGGGAACAATGAAAAGTTTAGTTTTAGTTCAGATCATGGAGTTTGGCACTTTTTATAGGCAATGGGGAGCCACTGAAGGTTTCTGAACAAGGAAATAACATGATCAGAGCTAGACTTTAGGATGATTAATCTGGAGGCTGTGAGGTGATTGGTTGCAAGGAGGGAGAGAGAAAAGTCAGAGCCAGGTAGGAGGCGACTGCCAAAGAGCAGGAGAGAAATAATGAGAGACTTGACAAGAGTGATGGTAATGAAAATAGACTGAGAGATACCAGAGGTCCTGCAAATGCCAAAGCAAATGGGAGGGCTTTGCAACTTGCTAAGGGTCACAGTCAGTGAGGAGGACGCAGGGCAGGTTGGGGAGATCTCTTCGGTCAATCTTTGTATCTCCATCAGCAATGGTGCCCAGAGAGAGGACTGGCAGGCCGTTCCCCACACTGCTAACAATGGTACCTCTGGTGGTGACATTTCAGATGGTTTTATTTTTATTATTTTTTATTTTTTATTTTTTTGAGATGGAGTCTTGCTCTGTTGCACAGGCTGGAGTGTGATGGTGCGATCTCAGCTCACTGCAACCTCGCCTCCTGGATTCAAGTGATTTTCCTGCCTCAGCCTCCCAAGTAGCTAGGATTACAGGTGCGCACCACTATGCCCAAATAATTTTTGTATTTTTAGTAGAGATGGGGTTTCACCATGTTGTCCAGGCCAGACTCGAACCCCTGATCTCAGGTGATCCGCCCACCTCGGCCTTTCAAAGTGCTAGGATTACAGGCATGAGCCATCATGCCCAGCCTTCAGATGGTTTTATATTGCTCTTTATGTTTATCTGCAATTTAAGTTTTCTGTAATGATCATCTACTATCAATTTAATTTTTCCACAATGAACGTGTATTATCTTTGCTTGGAAAATAGTTACATATGCTTATTCTTTAAAAATTTAAACAGAGATGTATATAAAGCAAAAAGTAAAAGGACCCCCCTTCCGTTTCCCATCAGACACTCTCAAAATAGTAACTGTTAAGGGTTTGGTATACCGAGAACTGCTTGAACCAGGGAGGCGGAGGTTGCAGTGAGCCAAGATTGCACCACTGCACTCCAGCCTGGGCGACAGAGTGAGACTCTGTCTCAAAAAAAAGAAAAAAAAAAGAGTCTGGTATATATACTTCCGGATAATTTTTCCTGTATATTTGTGTTTATATATATCTGAAAGTACTTATATGTAATCTATATGAATATGAGATCATTCTAAATATCCATTGTTTGCAACTTTGTTTTCTTCAGCCACTTGTTTTCAGTGGCTGCAGTGTATTCCACAGCATGAGGGTGGGTGGCTGGAGAATGGCAGCGTCCTCAACAGACAGAAAGCAGTAGGTGGAAGAGGTAATGTTGGGGGAAGGTGAGCAGTTAAGTGGTAGGTATGGTGGGTTTGAAGCCCCTGGTTGGCAATTGGAAATGAAGGCATGAAAAGGTAGAAAAAAGAGATACAACTTTTAGAGGAAGGTATGCAGAGAGGATAGTTGAAGATGAAGAGGCCATTCCACTTACTAAGGGAAGCTTGTTAACCAAGAATCAACTAGTATTTTGGGGGCATTGTGATGTGCCCAGCAGAGTGCTGACCCTTGACCCCAGAGATCAGTGTCTCTGAGTCAGAAGTGTTGGCCTGGAACTTTCTGCTGCTCCCAATGCTACATAGCCCTCAAGTTCCACGAACTTCCTGAAACAGGTCAAGTTGTGAAAGGTCCATGGCATTTGTATGATTAACACGAAGTTCCTCTACCCTCCATAGAATAACATCCTACTAACTTACTTTGCAATATGGCAAAGGAACACTACAGATTTTTTTCTCTACTTCAAACTAGGGTGCATGAAAAGTCCTTTGCAATTAGTTTCAGCCAGTCTTTCCTATTTTATCTCCAGCCAATTTGCTTCATAAACCTTGCTCATAATTCCCCCAACATAGAGTGACCAACCACCCAAGTTTGTCCAAGACTAAGGGGGTCTTGGGATGTGGAACTTCCGTTTAAAATAGATACAGTTCCAGGCAAACTATATCTGCCAGAAACAAGAAGAGTTGTTCTCAGGATGTAGGACTTCCAGGGCTAAAACTGGAAATTTCCAGGTAGACAGGGACATGTTGATTACCTTACCAGATACAACAGACTCTTTTGTGCCTTCTGTGCCCTCATATATGCTGCTTCCTTTGTGTGTATTATTCTTTGAGTCCTTCTCTACAGAACACCTACTTATTCTCCAAGACCCACCTTAATTCCCCTCAGGGTTACTTTTGCTCAGCTTTTCCAGGTAGATTTATTTGATCACTTTCTGTGGGTCTTTGTTGGTTATCTCCATGCTATGCTCTACAACTATTCCTTGACCTTCCTTTGGGGACCTCACCTTATTCGGTTTGGATGGAACTGACCTCACCCACCCTCAGGGGTGTGTCCTGGATAGCTTCAGCCAGTCCACAAATTGCATTCCCTAAGCCACAGCAACTGTTCAGACAAAGGCATGGTAAAGAGTGGGAATTCTAAAACATGGAGAGCTACTAGAAGCTTCCTCTTGCTGCACTTGGATAATATAGTGAGAAATCGTAAAGTGTGGAACAGCTGATGCTATTTTGTAGCCCAAAGGGTGATGGTAAGAGTTGATGAGAAGCCGCCATGGAGCCTGTGACAGTGCCCAGTATTAGTTTGCTAGGGCTGCCATAACACAGGACTACAGACTGAGTTAAACAAGGAGACATTCATTTTATCATAATTCTGGAGGCCAGAAGTATGAGATCAAGGTGTTGGCAGGATTGGTTTCTTCTGAGGCCTCTCTCCTTGGCTTCTGGATGTTCCTTTTCTCCCTGTGTCTTCATGTGGACTTCCTTCTGTGTATGCCTGTGTCTAAATCTCCTCCTCTTATAAGGACACAGTCATATTGGATTAGGTCTCACCCTAATGACCCCATTTTAACTCAATAACATTTTCAAAGATCTATCTCTAAATACAATTACATTGTAGGTACTGGAGGTGCCTAGGATCAGCAATAATTCTGTTTTAGTTGTACAAGCTAATAAATTAGCTTTTTTGTTTGGGCTACCCTGAGTTTTAGTCTTACTTTGTGTCTTTGCATTGAAATATTTCTGTCTGATACAGCCGCATCACATTTTTTTTTGTTATATAGCATTTTTCACAGGGTACTATAATAACTTGTTCAGATGCTGATCTACTATAGTTATGTGTAGACTTTTTCAGGCAAGGACATTTCTATATCTCCAGCCCCTTAGATTTGGGCACCTAGTAGGTGCTCAGTGATATTTGTCAAATGAATAAAGGCTGATTAGCAGTATGAGCAAGAAGCCTGGAAAAGCAAGGCTCCCCTCAATCTTCATTTTATTAAATTTTTTGATTAGTATTTTCTGGGCCATAACCTTAAAATGGCTGCAGTTAAATCTCTGAGCTTTGATCCCAGCATTATAAAACCACCATGGGGCCCAGGAGACCATACCTGGGATAGCAGCAGTCGGAGCATGAGGACTTCTAAGAAAGTGAAGAATGTGAGTGAACAGCAAACATGATTGAGTGCCGAGTATGCAGAGAGAGTAAATGTGCCCTCATTATATATTGCATAATCAAAAAGAGAGAAGAGAAACTTATAATTATCTTCTTTGAATCATCAAATATACATGTAATTTTTGATGCCAAAGTTTAGAACAATGAAGAATAATATACTTACAGAAATAGCATAAAGGTATTCAGTGAAAACAAGTCCACATGAAGATGCATGTTAAACTGCATTAAGAATAAAACCCCTTATTTCATCAGAGCACAAGCTCAGGAAAGTCCCTGTACTTTCTAGCAAATATGTAGCTCCCTTAGGATTTTGTTTTTTCACTTTAAAGCAGATAAAAGAATACTTTTAGTTTTCTCTCTTTTAACTTTCTAGCTCCATGGATAAAAGATTAATTCCCTAATGGGATTTCCCCATCATTTATTGTGTTAAAATGTCATGAACTGTTCTTCTCTTCAGTGTGCAAGTTCTCTAAGCAATTACCTTCATGTGTTTTTCACTGAAGGTAAGTTTGGCTTCAATCCAGAAAACTCTTTACTATCTATTACAAGGAGCTATTACAACCAGCCCAAACCATTAACTCCTTTAAAAAAAAAAAAAAGAAAAGTCAGTTCATCTGTTGTGAGGCTGAACTAACTGTGTAACTTTTAAAAATTGCCCATGCTGAGTCCACTTCTTCCCTTGTTCTTAGTTTCCAGGAGCCAAAGAAGAAAAGAAGCTCAGAGGCCACTCTTGTGTCCTGAATACTTTGCCTGCTGAGATCGCCCTCCTGGGCTTGCAGTTTGTCTTTTGGGAGATGTAGTTAAACACATCCTCCAGGGAGTGCCCTCAGCAGCTAGAGTGAGGTCCTGGAGAGTGGACTTTTCTCAGGAGAGGGATGTATGTGGTTAGGCAGGCGTGGTCACCTGTTCCTGAGAAAGGACAACTACTGGGGAGGACAGAAGGGTTGTCATTGGATCAGTGCCATGAGTCACCCAGACACATTTGCATGAAGATAACTCATGGTGATTTCATATTACAATTATGTTTAAAGTTTCTTTTGGATTATTTCCTCAGAGCTCTGCATCACTTTGCAAGTATGTGCATGATAAAATGCTTAAAATTCCTTGCACAGAAGACATTCTCAAAAGTTTTATTAATTGCTAAGCCAGTTTTGAGGTTTAATATATTTTTGCCAACATTCTTTAAAAATACAGTAGTGCTCCTTTATCTGTGGTTTTGCCTTCCATAATTCCAGTTACCTGCAGTCAACTAAAGCCCAAAACTGCATGAGTAGAGAAGGGTAAGATATTTTGGGGGGCACATTTACATAATTTTTATTACATATATTGTTATAATTATTCTATTTTATTGTTAATCTCTTACTGTGCCTAATTTCTAAATTCAACTTTATCATAGGAATGTATGTATATGAAATAACATAGTATATACGGGGTTCAGTACTATTCACAGCTTCAGTCAGCCACTGGGGGTCTTGGAACATATCCTCTGAGGATAAGGGAAGACTACTGTATATATTTCTCTTTGATATGTCATATTTTCCTGAATGATATAACTCTGTTGAATCAACATCTAATACATGATATTTTAAATCAGATATTAATAAAACTAAACATTCTCTTTATAGCTTCCTCCCTTCCCTTCATCAAGGACTTCTCTTGCTCCTCCAATCCAACTCATACCTGCTCAGTAAATGAATTGTCCCAAAGCACAGCACCAATTTTGCAACTTCCCTACTTCCAAAATGTTATACACATAAAAAAAAAAAACAGAAACAGCACAAGCATAACAGAAATGATAATTACAAAGAATGGTAAGGACAAACATATTCACCATAATTCTACACCAGGATATCACTTTATACATTTAACATGCATCATTAGCACAACTCACAATTACATCCTAATTTGTTTATAATGATCTTCAATTAGATGAGCTATTATTCTTGGAAATCTCCTTTTTAAATGAGGAAGTTGGAGCTAATTATAGGCATGGTCATCAGTAAACACATCCAGAATTTCTCACTATCTCTCATTTTTAAAATACCACGTATAAATGAATATATTTAATTTTTACAGAGACAAATGGCATATGCAAGCTTTTGTAATTTGAGAAAAAAATTCTTATAGTACAAAAATTCCAAATTATAATTATAGTAAGGGTTTTATTTTGCCACGCTAATTAGATAAACTTAATTTGATAAATACACACCATGTGAACACAATGTTATGTTTTTAACAACCCTTCCTGATATTGTGTGCTTCTATAAAATCCTTTATTAAAAATCATGATCTTTAAAATTTTCTGCATATTTTTATGAGGATACACACTTATTTATGATGTGTGTATGTGACTACATGTGACTTTCTCACTCTTTGATACTTCTAAAGTCAGGTCAGGGTGACCAAGAGGTTTGGGAAGAAAAATCCCCATCAAGATCTTAACCAATTATTTTACGAAGTGGAAGCCTGTTACCGTGTTAAACTCTAATCTCTCATCATGAACATCTATTAACAACTTCTCTATACTTCCAAGTGCTCTTCCGCCCTCTTCCTTCTGTCCCCCAAATGATCTAGAGCAGCATTTATACATAGGCATACATGTATCATGTATCATTTAAAATGTGAGAAAAGATCTCTAACTTTCACAGGATAGAGAAAGTGAGGTACAGATTTCTTGTAAGATCTCTTTTTCATGGAGGAAAATTTTCTGGGCATACATAAGGCATTTAGTTGGGTATGAATTTTGTTCGTCTTTCCAAACCAAAGTATGAAAGCTCTCAGTATCCACATAGATGAAAAGATCGATATATCTGATTTTCTCTAAAATGAAGTCCACTATTCCATCATTCCCTCAACATAGAGAAAAGACACAGAAATGCTTTTATTCTTTATTTTAAACAATTTACTTAAGTTCCATAATATTCATTCGAGTTAAACAGAGACATAAACCATAAGGCAACATCACTCAAATCCTATCACTAGCCAACCCAGCAAGCTCCAGCGAAGGGAGGATGACAGAGCGGCTCAGGGAATGTGATCAGTCATCCTAAACTGGGCCTGAAACCATCTGATCAGAGTGAAAAATTCCATTAAGTTATTTTATTAGGTTGAGGCGATATCTGAGTGGTCATTTCAGAGACAGACTTAATACTGCTCAGCCGGCTCAGATGATCTTCAGTGCAGATACAACCTGGGCATACAGACATTCCAGAAACACTCATTAATTACGGTGGCATCTCTTCCTTCATTAAGGCTGACAGCAGCCCCAGGCCTCTGCCCTAAGTCCAACCACCTACTTACTACTCACCAGCCCAGGATGTCTCACACCCAGTCCTAGAACTGGGCTCACCAAACCTTCTTCTTTGTGCTGTTCTTCCTGACTCTGGCATCCTGGCCTCTCAACCCTGCCTGCATTTCTTTTACTTGAGGCATCTGTGGTGTGATAGTAAAATAGACTCTGAATGTGAAATAAGAACCTTGATCATTAGGATTGGGCCTATCATTATTTTCATGTCAGCTTGACAAGTTACATAATCTTGCTGAACTTACTTGTGCCACCTGTGAAATAGGTTTCTTCAAATCATGGGGCATTCCCACAGTGATTTTTCTCCCCAGCTTCTTAAAATAGCTTAAGTTGTTTCAACTTATTTTGTGACACTTGCTTGACTTGTATACTTTTCTGAGACATGGCTACTACAATGCCTTAAAGTGTTTTGTAAACTGTAAAGTGCAATGCTGCATATTATTGTTATTGCCTTGCTTGTCTTCTCTGGCCATCTGGGTCTATAGGTAGATTCCATCAGACTTTGCCCCAGTTAGCTGAAGTCCTCCAGGGATATGAGTCTTCTAGTGCCTCACTTCTGGCCTAACATTCACCTGTATGGAAATATTATTCACATGTTCTTGGCATCTGACTATATTGTGAGTCCTTAGAGGAATAAATACCCTGGCTCTAGGTAAAAAATGCATCCCAGCTAGGTGATTGCCCTCCCCAAGAAATTACAGAGCAAATATATTAGAGAATCTTAATTATCTCCTGGTAGCTGGGAAAAATCCAGTAAAATATCCAGATTCATTTTCTCTCTCTTTTTTCCTTTACAGTAAGTGGCAAATACCTGGGTCTCATCTGCTGGGGTTCCGTCCTTAACAAAGTATCTTGCTCTACAGTTTCAAAATGGAAAAAGAGTTTTAAAAAACATTTTTGTGAGTCACAAATTTTCTAAATAGTGATCTATTTTAAAAGAGTATTCCACATAGTTCTTGACTTCATGGCTTAAATACACGATATACAAATCAATTTCCTATAGGTCCATTGTTGGATGGTGACAAAAGACCTGTCCTCTGCTCTTAAGCCTACCTTCAGATTGCTGTGTGACCTTGGACAAGTCATTGAGGCTCCTGCCACCTTCACCTCTGGTTTTTTATCAGACTTCATATGTGGGAAAGAACAAGACTTCCAGGACCCAGAGTTGGTATAAATTTGTAGATGTGAACAAATCAGAATAAAGGCTGTCTTCTGAGACCATGGAAATTCTATTATTGTTTGCTATAGGGAAAATCATGTTCATTTTCTTTGACCATGCCCCCTTCCCAAACCCAGGGATAGAATCTAAACAATGCTTGACTGGGGACACCAAGATCTGGTCTTGTCATACCTATTTCTCTTTTTACTGAGTTCTGCTACCTGAGACCTGGTAACCCAATTGGACTAGGCTGCTATTTTTAATCAGTTTCCCTAGGATTTGGTTTCAGGACTTGCCTTTGTTGTAGATTCTGGCCACCACACCCAATGCAGGTGAGAGGTGGGTTGTCACCAGCCCCCACCCCCATCCCAGGTTACAACTTGGCTGGGAACAGCCCCCTAAGTCAGCGGTTCTCAAACTTAGCTATGTATTTAAATCATAGGAGTAGTTTTGAAAAATCCTAATGCTCACACTACCCTCCAGACCCATTGTATCAGAATCTTCGGGGGATAGTACCCAGGCATTGTTATTCTTTTCAGGTTCCCCTTGTGATTCCAATGTCCAGACAATGCTGAGAATCACTGCCCTACTTGAATCTTCCAGGAATGAAATGAAACAAAATCAGCTGTGAATTTTGAGAGTCTAAGCAACAGAGAGTTGCAGGCTGCAGATAAAGACCTGGAATTGTCAAGTTCTGAAAATTCATGGCCTAGCTTGGGCTTAGACACAGGATGGTGGAGTAGAAGGAGCTTGGTGCTGGAATATGATTTCTAAAATGATGGTCAGGGTAGAGTGGGCCACTGCAGAGTAGGAGCATGTGCTGTATTAGCGTTCAGTGGGCTAGAATCAGAGAGGCAAGCAGGACTTGAAGGATGAGCAGAAGGCTTGAAAGCTTAAAGATAGCAGCACTTGACAAGCTACATGTAGGTGGGTGGTTTAAAGGAAAGGGTCAGGCACTCAATCAAGAAGTCTGGGTCAGAAATCCAGGTGGAACCTCCATATGAGCATAACATTAATATTTATGGGGTGCTTTATATTTGTAATTTGCTTTTACATCCCTTTATCTTACTTGATTATGATGGTGAACCTCAAAGATAGGCAGTACAGACATAATTACAGTGTCCACTTTGAATTTGAGAAAAATGAGGCTTAAAAAGTTTCAGTGGCTTATCTGAGGCCACACAGCTAAGTGAAAGCAGCAATAAGAAAGGCCTGGATTACAAAAATTAAAGCACTTTGCCTCAGTAAGGGAGGTTTCTTGTTCAGGACAGAAACCAACTGCCGATGGTGATGGTTTTTAACACAGACACTCCCTGAGCTTTAGGCAGCGCTTTGCAGTTTACAGAGCATTCTCATATGGCTTATCTCCCTGGAAAAATCACAACAAGCCTGTGATGCAGGCATGGCAGTTTTCAGATGAGAAAACTGAGATGAGACATGACTTATCCAGGGTCACACAGTGGGCTAAAAAGCAACGCCTACACTCCAGGGCCATGAGGGTGCTACTTTTCTTGTCCCGTGCAGTCTCCAGCTGTGGCTGCCGTTGTACCTGCAGCTACAATTGGTTGGGAAACCCTAACTGGAGTGAGTAGCAAAAGATGAGAGCAGCTACTGACTGGTGGATCCTGACACTGTTGGGATTCAGTTGTAATTGTTGTACTTTTTCTCCCCAGTTTTTTTTAGAAGCCCAATTTTATTCAGAAGCCAGCTCCATGTGGCATGGTTTGCAAAGTCAAAGACAAATTTGGTTTTCTAGGCTGAGCCAAATTCTAGCAATTTATTGCCATCTGATATTTTATTAACTTTCTTTTTGCATTTAAAAAATTCTCTCTTGCATTGGCTGTGGAGAAGATCTGTTATAAAAGAAATGTTTTCAGACAGGAAACAACAACTGCTGGTGAGGTTGTGGAGAAATAGAAACACTTTTATACTGTTGGTGGGAGTGTAAATTAGTTCAACCATTGTGGAAGACAGTGTGGCAATTCCTCAAGGATCTAGAACCAGAAATACCATTTGACCTAGCAATCCCGTTACTGGATATATACTCAAAGGATTATAAACCATTCTACTATAAAGACACATGCACACGTATATTTATTGCAGCACTATTTACAATAGCAAAGACTTGGAACCAATCCAAATACCCATCAATGATAGGCTGGATAAAGAAAATATGGCACATATACACCATGGAATATTATGCAGCCATAAAAAAGAATGAGTTCATGTCCTTTGCAGGGACAGGGACGAAGCTGGAAGCCATCATTCTCAGCAAACTAACACAGGAACAGAAAACCAAACACTGCATGTTCTCACTTATAAGTGGGAGTTGAACAATGGGAACACATGGACACAGGGAGGGGAACATCACACACTGGGTTCTATTGGGGGATGGGGGGACAAGGGGAGAGATAGCATTAAGACAAATACCTAATTCATGTGGGGCTTAAAACCTAGATGATGGGTTGAGAGGTACAGCAAAGCACCATGGCACATGTATACCTATTTAACAAACCTGCATGTTCTGCACATGTATCCCAGAACTTAAAAAAAAAAAAAAAAAGAAGAAATGTTTTGAGACCTTTTTTGGCTTTTTATTGTTACAGCTAAGTGAAATTAGGGGCATGTAGGTGAAATAATTACACACAACGCAGACCACTTGGCCCATATGATTCACTTTCTCAAACACATCTTTGTGTCATCATCTTCATATTAAGATTAGAAAAGCTGGACTCCCCTTTCTGGAAAAGGAAAGAGTATATTTATTTGAGGGTAAAAATCTACCCCTCTTTTCAGTATGGACCCTAATCCCAGCTGCTCTTTGTGGCTTGCCTGATCTCTGTCTCTCTACAGGCTCCAATCAAACCTTTCTCCTCAGCTCTCACAGCACTTTATGTCTTCCTCCTAGAACATTCTGCTTTATATAAAGCAGAATGAGTCTCTACGTGCATTATTTTTCCTTCTAGATTATAACCTAAGGGCAGAGACAGTTATATTTATCTTAGCATCTCCCTAGCACCAGGCAGATTATTCAGTGAATAAACATGTATTGACTAAGCAATTGAACAATTGTTGACAAATTCAGATGCCAACTAGAGATTCTTGGACATGGATTTTAAAGTATTGATTTATTTTTTTCAGATGAATCCAACAGAAATGGTATAATCTAATTTACACCAAAGATCAGTTAAAGCATAGTTCATGTTTTTCTAATTGACTGTTTAGTTAAACCTAAAATGACAAAGTAAATGTCAATATCAGACATTCACAGTGGAAATGTGTGCTGTTAAAAAGAAATAGATGAATGGTTGTGATTCTCAAGTGGTTTATCCATAAGCTCTCCCTTTTATTTTGAAAACAGTGTCTTTGTCTAACACTCTTGCCCACTGGCATAGAAAGACATGTGTCATCAGAGTTAAGAGGGTTGTGTAAACATTAACATAAAAACAAATAACCACCCACGTGTACTTTAACATGTGCCCTTCAGATAGAGAATGGTGTTCCTAACTATGCTTGTGACAAAATCTTAGCTTATTACAGTGAATTAGTAGGATGGTTTTAAATCTCATAGTCATTACAAGAATACTAAATGTGGGCCGGGCGCAGTGGCTCAAGCCTGTAATCCCAGTACTTCGGAGGCCGAGGCAGGCGGATCACGAGGTCAGGAGATCAAGACCATCCTGGCTAACACAGTGAAACCCTGTCTCTACTAAAAATACAAAAAATTAGCTGGGCGTGGTGGTGGGTGCCTGTAGTCCCAGCTACTCAGGAGGCTGAGGCAGGAGAATGGTGTGAACCCAGGAGGTGGAGCTTGCAGTGAGCCGAGATCTCACCACTGCACTCCAGCCTGGGCGACAGAGCGAGACTCTGTCTCAAAAAAAAAAAAAAAAAAAGAATACTAAATGTGGAAAGTTAGGTATTTTGAACATTTTCAAATGTCATAATTTTGTTCATGTAAAGGCTTCAAAATTTTCCTATAGGATGGGTTTGGGGGAGGCTATGGAATTGAAGAGGAGAAAGGCACTTGGCTTGAAGGTGTACTTGCACAGCAAGTGCCACGCTCCTGCTCTGATTATATGTGTATTTGAAGAAGCTTTGGGGGCAGGGCTGAAAGAAATTATGAGAGGCTGTTTCACCACTATATAAATTCAACGTTTATGCTTTGTATTAGATGTGTTATCAAATGTGTTCCTTGTCTTGAATCTGACTTGACTTCCAAAAGCCTTAGTTACCACAAGTGACATTAAAGGCACTGCTTATGAGTGGAGCCATTGCTTATTGAAACTACGGATTTAGAAGCATGTAGCTAAAGTCTTCTATCAATGTAACACGCAATTCCAAAGGCATTCTGGAGTTAGGGGCATTTTGTTGACACTTATAAGCAGGCAATAGAACTTACGGATGAAATGCTGTTCATTTTATATGCCTCATAGCATCACTTAATTGTAAATTTATGGAATGAATCCCTTTCTGTGATTTTACTGTCCACCAAAAACATGGTCATGTAGAACATTATTGAATATGAGACAATATTTTAGCATAGGAAGAGTGAAAACACTTCTAAATTAAGTAGACCAATTCGTTGAACTTGAAGACTTGAACTCTCTTTGATAGAGATAAGTCTGATTTTGCCAATAAGAAAGATGTACAGTTTACTATTGAGAAACTGATTCTTCCAGCTCACTGGAAGTGATTTCTCCCCTCTCCTTCTCTCCCCTCTCTTTCCTTCCTCTTCTCTTCCCTCTCTTCTCTCTCTTTTTCTTTCCTTTTCTTTCTCTTCTCTTTCTTCCCTTTTTCTTCTCTTTTTCTTCCCTTCTTTCTTTCTTCCTTCATGCTTCAAGCTCACTTAATTTATCATTTCCCTTCCACAGACAACAATTTATTTTCCAGACTTGGAAATTGAAGTTCAACCTGTTTAAAGAAGATCAAGCTAAGATTTCCATTTCTAGTTTGAAATTAATCTAAATGGAATTCGGGCAAATCATTTTGAGTCAGGGGCACTTTGAATAGTGACCATAGATTTCAGTTTCTACATAATAATGAAATATTTAGGTTTAAGTTGCATTCAGTATCCCTGTGTTTATTATTTTATGATATGAAAAAAGGCATATATAAGGCCTTTTCTTATCCATATAATGAAAATATCCTCTGAAGTATTATGATGTATGACTGAAAAGAATTCCAACTATTTTGTTAGGGTATTTTTCTTCATTATTGTTAATGTCTTTGGGCCTATTGGAATCCTGAGCCTCACTTGCAACAAGGCATGTTAAATCACTATTGTCTTTAATAGTGCTTTAATAAAAAAGGAGGAGGGCAAGAAAATACGCTATTCCTTGTCAAGGAGACCTTCCCTCTTCTGCATTTATTGCCATGTCTCCTTCTTGATTTTGCTGCCTTGCAAATGGCTTTGATTCAGCTTGTAGGCTTGTGTTCTTATCCAAGATCTACACACCATTTTACAAATGGAGTCAAGAGAGGTACATTAGATTAAATATTGATTTAAGTGTAAATCTATGCCTTCTAGCATTTGAGCAAGGCAGAAGGACATCAGGTTAGCTGCAGGTAAGGCCATGCCAGCACAATGATTCAATCAGGGCATGATTATGCAAGCCAAGGGCAGCCAAAGCCTAGCAGTGCCATCTCTGGTATCCAGCTAAAGACATGGACGGGAATAGCAGTGTTTTAACTTCTTTTTTATTTCCTCTTCCCATCTTCCTCTAGAAAGCTTAGTTGAACAATATTTTTATGTAGGAGTAGACATGAAAGTTGACAGTGTTATATAAAAAGTCAGAAAACCCATATTCAATTCCTGGCTGTCATGCTGGCTGGACATGAGTAACTTCCCAAGGGCATCCATCCACTCCTGGACTACCTCACGATGCTGTTGTGAGCACCACATGAGTTCATGAGTGTGTTAGGGTAAGTTAAGATGATAGATGGTAGACAGCAGAAAGTTCCATTGTTTGTAGCACAGGGATGACACAATCTACAAAATGATAGTTTCGTTTATTTTACTTCTGTTCTTTGAGATTATTATCACCAAACATGGATCCTTGCAAAGAAAGTTCTCTTGGTTTCCTGGACACTCTTAACACATATTTTATGGCAAATCTTAAAATTATACAACTTAATCAGTACACAGCAGCCCAGCAGCCTCATCAGACATACTCTACCAACCCACTCCCCACAATTCCCTTACAACAGAACAATACTTTTTTTTCTTTCTTTGAGACAGAGTCTCACTCTGCCGCCATTCTGGAGTGCAGTGGTGTAATCTCAGCTGATTGCAACGTCCACCTCCCGGGTTCAAGCAATTCTCCTGCCTCAGCCTCCTGAGTAGCTGGGATTACAGGCGTGCACCACCACACCTGGCTAATTTTTGTATTTTTAGTAGAGACAGGGTTTCACTATGTTAGCCAGGATGGTCTCGATTTTTGACCTCATGATCCACCCGCCTCAGCCTCCCAAAGTGCTGGGATCACAGGCGTGAAGAACAACAATGTTAAAAGGCTTTTAGTTTGCCAAACTCTTACGCACTCATGAACTTATTTGATCCTCACAGTTACATCATCAGGTGGTCAAGGAAGAGATTATTATCCTGACTGGAAGCTAAGGAAACAGACTCAGAGTGGTGAAGTTATTTGTGCCAGCCAACACTGGAGCCAGGCATTGTTTTCTCAACTTCCTAAATAAGCCTATTTCCCTGTCTACTCTTGCCAGGATCCCTAGGCTCCTTGTTCCATAGCACACTATGAGACTCTGCATCCCTTAAGGGACGGGTAACCTTATAGCCCTAATGCCTGAGTAGTGCAGACTTGATATATATTTTAAAATGAATGCAAAAGGAAAAAAATTAATTGTGGACAGTTGGGAGTTAGGAGAAGAAGGTACTGGGAAACTGCACATTTATACAAGAAATACTACCCCCTTCACTCATATGTTAAAGTATTTTTGAAAATATGTTCAAAGTGAACTTGTTGTAACCATCATATTGAGCCTGGGAAGCAGGGTGGGAGAAGAATCAGTAAACTAAATCTCACAATGTATCATAATGAGAAGAATTCTCAGGGCTCATCTAAGCTCAGTAAAAAAGTGATTTGTTTGATTGGTAATACCTGTCAATCATATGGCACGGCAATGGGAGCCCAGATAATGATCTAGAACAGTGGCTGAACACTAGGATCTGGCAGGCAGAACTTGGCCAGGCAACATATTTTGTTTGGAAAGCCCAGACTCTCGTGTATTTTTTAATTTGAAGACCTTTTTACTCTCTAGTTCCCCACAGTGTCCATCACTCTATTTCCTACTCTTAGCCACCTCAAATTTTTACTGGCTCCTGAAGGCCTTTTGGATCATGATTCTGATCTATTGGCCAAATTATTTAGTCTGACTCCTTCTGTAGCCTGAATCCTGCTATCAAGAGCCAAGATTTTAATAAGTTATATTATTTAATCATTGCAATTATTTTGCAAGGTTGATCTTTTTACCTCCATTTTACCAATGAGCACACTGACACTAGGATGAGTAACTTACTAAGGTCACATACCAGTAAGTGTCTTTCTGACCCGGCATTTAAAAGGTCTCTTGTGTTTAGTTGGAGTCAGTACATAATTGTCAAATGCATACTGATAAAAGTTGATGTGGGAGGCTAGGTTTTTCCTTTTACACTCATATCAGAAAGAGTTGTCTCTAGTCCCAAAATATTCCATTCAGTTTCCCATTTTGCCACATGTATAAGTTGTATTGCAAGTGGCCTGAACACATATTTTTATTACAGAAAGCCCCTCATCTATAGAGAACCATGGAGAACCCATGTCACTGCTCATGCTCTTAATAACAGGTCACCTTACTTTTCTCCAAAAAAACCTTGAGATGGTTCTCCATTGCTTTAAGTTAACAACCCTTTTGGTTTCTTGGCACACTTCTAAATATTAAAATTGGTTTGGGGCAGGTTCCCAGTTGACAGTATTGAGAGGATTTGACCCCTAATCACTGAACTATTGGTTGCGTTTTGCATTTGAGGTATGTTTGAGATCTCCTTGTTGCCCTGCCTGTGCCTGTTTATATACACACAAGGCAATATGGTATTGCCTTATTGTATTGTATTACAACAATATTGTATTGCTGTAATGCAACAATATTGTATTGCTGTAATGCAACAATATTGTATTGCTGTAATGCAACAATACTGTATTGCTGTAATGCAACAATACTGTATTGCTGTATTGCAACAATACTGTATTGCTGTATTGCAACAATATTGTATTGCTGTATTGCAACAATATTGTATTGCTGTATTGCAACAATATTGTATTGTTGTAAACATCATCTCATTATTCTCTCCCACCTCTTTCTATTTGTTTCTTGCAAGTTATATCCTGTTGCACACTATGACATATGACCCAGTAATAGATGTTTATTGCCTGAGAGATACCATTATAACAATATTAGTGGGCATATGTGTGTGTGTGTGTTTGCATGTATGTGTGTCTCTGTTGCAGAAAATAAAAAAAGTTATATTACACCTGAAAGAGTTGGTAGCACCCCATATACCTGGTACACCATTGCAAACCACCGGCCTAAAGGGTAAAAGTTGACATCCTGAGCCTGGTATTGAAGACTTTTCACAATTTGGGCTCAACTGAATTTTCTTTTTATTATTATTATTATTATTATACTTTAAGTTTTAGGGTACATGTGCACAATGTGCAGGTTAGTTACATACGTATACATGTGCCATGCTGGTGTGCTGCACCCATTAACTCATCATTTAGCATTAGGTATATCTCCTAATGCTATCCTTCCCCCCTCCCCCCACCCCACAACAGTCCCCAGAGTGTGATGTTCCCCTTCCTGTGTCCATGTGTTCTCATTGTTCAATTCCCATCTATGAGTGAGAACATGCAGTGTTTGGTTTTTTGTCCTTGCGATAGTTTACTGAGAATGATGATTTCCAATTTCATCCATGTCCCTACAAAGACATGAACTCATCATTTTTTATGGCTGCATACTGTTACATGGTATATATGTGCCACATTTTCTTAATCCAGTCTATCATGGTTGGACATTTGGGTTGGTTCCAAGTCTTTGCTATTGTGAATAGTGCTGCAATAAACATACGTGTACATGTGTCTTTATAGCAGCATAATTTATAGTCCTTTGGGTATATACCCAGTAATGGGATGGCTGGGTCAAATGGTATTTCTAGTTCTAGATCCCTGAGGAATCGCCACACTGACTTCCACAATGGTTGAACTAGTTTACAGTCCCACCAACAGTGTAAAAGTGTTCCTATTTCTCCACATCCTCTCCAGCACCTGTTGTTTCCTGACTTTTTAATGATTGCCATTCTAACTGGTGTGAGATGGTATCTCATTGTGGTTTTGATTTGCATTTCTCTGATGGCCAGTGATGGTGAGCATTTTTTCATGTGTCTTTTGGCTGCCTAAATGTCTTCTTTTGAGAAGTGTCTGTTCATATCCTTTGCCCACTTATTGTTGGGGTTGTTTGTTTTTTTCTTGTAAATTTGTTTGAGTTCATTGTAGATTCTGGATATTAGCCCTTTGTCAGATGAGTAGGTTGCGAAAACTTTCTCCCATTTTGTAGGTTGCCTGTTCACTCTGATGGTAGTTCCTTTTGCTGTGCAGAAGCTCTTTAGTTTAATTAGATCCCATTTGTCAATTTTGGCTTTTGTTGCCATTGCTTTTGGTGTTTTAGACATGAAGTCCTTGCCCATGCCTATGTCCTGAATGGTAACGCCTAGGTCAATTGAATTTTCTAATGTTCCCCCAGCTCACCTTCACTCCCTCAACATCAGGTTAAATTGACCCAAACCTTGTCCTTTGCTTCCCATCCTCTGTGTCTGTAATGATTCTGCTTCATCACATCGAAGGTCCACCCTCTTCATTTCTGAGTGTGAAAGCCAAGTACTGCCTTCTCTGAGAAATCGTTCTGGAGTCCTTCCTATCTAGAAGTTGTCCCTGCCACCTCTCATTCTGCATATGATTTGCTACATCTCTCATCACTTTGTCTCTTGTATTAGACTTATTTGTAAATGAATCTTAACTCTGTTATTAGATTATAAGTTCTTTCAGAGTATGATCCATGGCTGAATATCTCCTCTGAATGGGTCCCTCAGAGAAATTCAATTAACCACTTTTAACATCATGGCAAGTTCTTTAAGATACTTGTGACTTTTTTTTTAAGGTGCAGCAATTAATTTTTTCCCATTCATTTTGTATCAGCTGCTGATTGTGTGCTGCCATTTCTCCAGGGACAATCCTGGAGGTTGCCTGCAGATGGTTCTTGTGTATACAAATGGCTTCTTGGGGGCATTCTCTAACTGCAGGTCCATGCCTCGCATGTGTTTGGGTGGAGAGTAGGCTGGGAGTACTGGAGATGTAGCCCCACCCTTGAAGTGACCTTCAGATGAGAAGTTGGTGGTTAAATGCTTCCTCTCCTCTCAGTGGGACAATTCTGAAGTATGTCCCACACAGTCTCCCTGAGGGTCCTCCATGGGATTGCGCTCCCCTTGCTCACAGCTGTGCTGCTCAGTGATGTACACTTCATTGCCTTTTCTCTCTTCCCATCTCGCTTCACCACCCCCTCTCAGTGCTCCCTAAATACACTAGTTGCTCTCAGATTCTTGTCTCAGGGTCTGCAGTTAGTTAGGGGACACAAACTAAGACCAGTTCTACTCTTTCCCTACAGTCTTCTGGTAGTCAGAAGCAAACCTTTCCTAACTGGTGTCTGGAATTACACTATGGAAACTGGTGAACCTAATTCATAGATACAGAAACTGGCCTCATCCTCTCAAGCAGATTCTTCAAAGTGGAACTCATACAGAGAATCCAAAAAAAGGCATCAGTGTTGTTAGAATAAGTTCACTGTAGGCTGGGTGCGATGGCTCATGCCTATAATTCCAGCACTTTGGGAGGCCGAGGCGGGCAGATCACGAGGTCAAGAGATCAAGACCATCCTGGCCAACATGGTGAAACCCTGTCTCTACTAAAAATAGAAAAATTAGCTGGGCATGGTGGTGTGTGCCTGTAGTCCCAGCTACTTGGGAGACTGAGGCAGGAGAATCGCTTGAACCCCGGAGGCAGAGGTTGCAGTAAGCCGAGATGGCACCACTGTACTCCAGCCTGGTGACAGAGCAAGACTCCGTCTCAAAAAAAAAGGGAATAAGTTCACTGGAACCATCAGGGCTGGCTGGGATGGAGGCCAGAGTTTTACCACAATGACTTCACCTTGAAATTACTGCTGTTTCCAGGGTTGAGAAAAGTGATTGGCTCCACTGAATAACTTGAAAAAAATACTCCTATTACTGTTTGGATAATAAAATAAAACTGGTTATCATATATTTAGGGGTTCTCAAATATGCTTGCTTATAACGCCAAAGATTTCAGAACCAGAATCTCAGCTGAAGATAGAACACCTGATCAGAAAGATTTATGTTCCTCCCAGTAATGACATTTTTACCATTACAAAAAGAGCAATTTACTTTTCCAACATCCTCTTCTTTCTACCCCAGCCTGTCAGAGAGAATCGCAGTCTCACACATGAAATATTTTCAAACTAGAGGTGGCAGGTTTATGGAAAATTACTCTGAATGTATTTGGGTTCCAACCAACTCCCTCAGCTCTATATTATTCATGATAAGCATGACTTCCAAGTCTTGGCTTTGTCAGATTTTCCTATTAATTGTTAATGTAACAGCTAAGTCTCCCTGGAGTGTGTGTTATTTTCTCATTTATAAAATCATAAGCCTTGGGATAATCCTTCATTAGATCAATAATATTCTCATCAAATGAATGTAACACTGTCTAAGCAAGGGATATTATAGTTAACTGCAGCAATGGAGTGCTGTTCTTACCACCCTGTGAGCCTGTCTCCTCACCTCCATCCCCACATTCACTCTGAAGACTTAGCAGTTCTCACCTGGACCAAAGCAGTAGCCTCTTAGCAAGGCCACTGCCTCTCCCACAAATGTCTGCAAACCTCCCTCCATGTTGTCATGGGCAGCCAGCTCATGGATCTGACCAGGTGGGTACCCAGTTCTGAAAGTGTAGATAGTTTCTAAAGACGAATTTTTTAAAAATCCACCCTGCACCCATTCTCCCTGCCTAGCAGAGTCCCTTTCCTTCACTTCTGGTAAATTACTCTTCCTTTTCATGTAAAACGCTGAAAAAACCACTGGATGCCTTTCCCAGCCTTATTCCCTAAGGCCTGGAAGGATAGGGGACCTAAGCTCAGCCAGCTGGGTGTCATCCTCCTAGACTCTGGATCTCCAACACATGATAGGGGACAGAAACAAAGGTTGGAGCGCTCCTATCCTGACCAGACTCTTCCTGCTGGGGACCATTCCTGATATTCCTCTTTCCTGCCTCTCTGGAGGTGCTGTTCTCCAAGCAATTCCTGCCAGTCTCAAAGGCCAGCTCTCCAGCTGACTTTGTAAGCTCCCAGTATACCTCCTGTGAGTTTACTTTAGCTCAACCTAGAGTCTGTTTCTTTTGCATACATGCAAGGAGCCCTGGCTGATACAGCTCAAAATAAAGACCCATTTACAGTCTCAGTTTTTGCCAGTTCTCCCATTTTCACACTCTACTCTAGCCACATCAGCCTAATCACTACTCTCTGGACACAACATATAGCCATACAATTGTTCATGCTGTTTCTTACAAAGATTATTTTTCTCCTTCTCAATAAGTTTTTCCCTCCTGCTTATAATTCCAGCTGCTCGGGAAGCTGAGGAGATAGGACTGCTGGAGCCCAGGAGTCCAAGAACAGCCTGGGCAACATAGGGAAACCCTATCTCTAAATAATAATAATAATAATAGTAATAATAATAATAGAATCCTTGCCTACCATTCAAGGACAAGATGAAAGGACTTCCTCTGCAAAACTCTCCTTGATCTCTCCCTCTGCTCTGTTCTCTCCAGCCAGACTCAATTCTTCCCTGTCCCAGGGCCCTATGCTTGAATGTTCTACGTAGCACCTATCACTCCTCATCAGATTTTTGTATTGGTGTGTTTGAGGGTCCCAAAGCCAGGGTCTATAACTTAGTGTTCTTAATCTTCATCTTTCCATGTAAATCCCATCAGGTAGAGGCACTTCACATGGTGGTTGAGAGTGCTGGTTTGAACTCTCACATAATACTTGGCTTCAAATCCCAGCTCTCTACTTCTCCTCCTCCCCCTTCCCCACTCCTGTCACCCCGCCAAAAAAAACCTGGCTGCTTGGCTTGTGCAAATTACTTTAGCTCTCTAAGTTCTCTCACCTATAAAATGAGGATGACAGTGCTTAATTTATATGATGGTTGTGAATGTAAAATAGAGTCTGAAGACAGTATTCATCACCACTAAGTACTCAATAAATGTTTGTTGAAAGAATAACTAAACAGGTCCATGCTATCTCTGGCAACCTGATAAAAACAATCCACAAATGAAACATGTAACCTGTAGAATCACCTAAGAGTAATGAAAAGCGCATATTACAAGGAATGTAAATATGTGTGTGTGTATGTGCGAGTGTGTGTGTGCATGCATATGCACACACAGACATGTGTTGTTTCAAGGCCTCTCTTTTGGTCAGAGTCTAGCAAACTAATAATGGGAAAGACAGATTTTTGGGGACTAATCCACATGCTTTTGCATGTAACAAGGAAGCTGGAAGTGCCTCTTCTATCACTGCGATGATTATATACAAAGATAACAACTTTCTTGTCTCTTGACAAAATAGTCTACACAGCTCTACAGTGTGTAGCTGGTCAGAAGGGTTGTGCTCTAGAAAACAAAGATATATTATTTTCTCCATCAGAGTGAGTTTTAGTTACTAGTACAGGAGCTGTTGAGTTGAGTGAGGATAATAACCCGCTCTGAGTATGTATGCTGAGTCAACCAAGTAAGCAATGGTAACTATAACAAAGGCTAGGTTGGTTTACCAGTGTGTCTATTTATATAATAATACAAAAATTCTGATTTAATTACAGTGTAGACGTGGAAAGTATGGCCATAGCCTACTGGGGACAATGTAAGTGCTCAAATGAGAGCAAATTAGGAGTAAAAAATATGGCTAGTAATGAATTAAAATTGGGGCAATTCTTAAAATATTTGGCAAAAGAGAGTGAACCCCAGTTCTAATTTTACCAAACAGAACAAGGCAAGTTGCACAGTAAAAATCACATCTTCATTTCTTGTCCTTCTTTCTTCAGACTCTAAGATGTAAATCTTGGAGTCTGCAGAAGTACACTTCCACCAGGCAGAAAACAATGAGGTGCAGCCATATCATTAAGCAAGCTTTTTGAGGGGGCACTGAAAAATGACCGCAGAAAAAGGAACAAGGCTGGAGGCATCATGTTACCTGACTTCCAACTACATTATAGGGCTACAGTAACCAAAGCAGCATGGTACTGGTACAAGAACAGATGCATAGACCAATGGAACAGAATACAGAATACAGAGCCCAGAAATAAGACTGCATACCTATGAACAATCTGATCTTTGACAAATCTGACCAAAATAAACAATGGGAAAAGGATTCCCTGTTTAATAAATGGTGCAGGGAGAACTAGCTAGCCATATGCAGAAAATTGAAACTGGATCCCTTCCTTACACCATATGCAAAACCAACTTAAGATAGATTAAAGTCTTAAATGTAAAACCCAAAAGTATAAAAAACCCTAGAAGAAAACCTAAGCAATGTCATTCAGGATATAGGCATGGGCAAAGATTTCATGACAAAGACACCAAAAGCAATTGCAACAAAAGCAAAAATTGACAAACAGGATCTAGTTACATTATGGGATGTAATTAAGAAACTAATGAGCTTCTGCACAGCAAAACAAACTATCAACAGAGTAAACAGACAACCTACAGATTGGGAGGAAATTTTTGCAAACTATGCATCTGACAAAGGTCTAATATCCAGCATCTATTAGGAGCTTAAACAAATTTACAAGAAAAAAACAACTCCATTAAAAAGTGGGGAAAGGACATGAATAGGCATTTCTGAAAAGAAGACATACATGTGGCCAACAAATATATGATAAAAAGTTCGACATCACTGATCATTAGAGTAATGCAAATCAAAACCGCAATCAGATACTGATATGGTTAGGCTTTGTGTCCCCACCCAAATCTCTTCTTGAATTGTAATTCCCATAATCTCCATAATCCTCATGTGTCAAGGAAGAGACCATCTGGAGGTAATTGAATCATGGGGTGGTTTCCCCCATGCTGTTTTTGTGATAGTGAGTGAGTTCTCATGAGATCTGATGGTTTTATAAGGCGGTCTTCCACCCTTCACTTGGCACTTCTCCTTCCTGCCGCCTTTTGAAGAAAGTGCCTTGCTTTCCCTTTGCCTTCTGCCATGATTGTAAGTTTTCTGAAGCCTCCCCAACTATGCTGAACTGTGAGTCAACAGAACCTCCTTACTTTATAAATTATACAGTCTCAGGCAATTCTTTATAGCAGTATTAAAATGGACTAATACAGATACCATCTCACACCAGTCAGAATGGCGGTTACTAAAAAGTCAAAAAACAACAGATATTGGTGAGGTTGTGCAGAAAAAGGAACACTTTTACACTGTTGGTGGGAGTGTAAATTAGTTCAACCATTGTGGAAGACAGTGCAATGATTTTTCAAAGACCTACGGGCAGAAATACCACTTGACCCTGCAATCTCCTTACTGGGTATATATCCAAAGGAATATAAATCAGTCTATTATAAAAATACATGCATGCATGTGTTCATTGCAGCACTATTCACAATAGCAAAGACATGGAATCAACATAAATGCCCATCAGTGATAGACAGGATAGAGAAAATGTGGTACATATACACCATGGCATACTATGCAGCCATAAAAAGGAATGAGATCATGTCCTTTGTAGGGACATGGATGGAGCTAGAGGCCATTATCCTTAGCAAACTAATGCAGGAACAGAAAACCAAATACCATGTGTTCACACTTATAAGTGGGAGCTGAATGATGAGACAATATGGACACATGGGGGAAACAACACACACTGGGGTATGTCAAAGGGTGGGAGGTAGAAGGAACGAGAACATCAGGAAGAATAGCTAATGGATGCTGGGCTTAATACCTGGGTGATGGGATGATCTGTGCAGAAAATCACCATGGCACACATTAACCTATGTAATAAACCTGCACATCCTACACATGTACCCCTGAACTTAAAAGTCAGATAAAAAATGACTGCAGAAGAGGAGCAGAACCCATTTCCTTCTGTCCGGTCTGTGTGTTCTTTGCAGGGAACGGGGGTAGAAGAGATGGGTCTTCGAAGGAGCTTGCTCTGGATTGAGGGGATTGAGGATCAGGTGATCTTAGTCCTTCTAGAAAATGTGGGCTTTGTGATGTGATCAGAGCTTCTCAACCAGGCTTCTGTAGTCTTAAGTGCTCCAAAGAACCCCTCAGGCATGGTCAGGGAGGAGCTCTGGGCTTAATCCCAGCCCTATACCCCATTTCGATAAGACAGATCTGCATTTATGTTTTATATGTGAACTTCTGTGGAAGGTTGTGTCAAACAAAAGACTCTGCAGCTAAATATTTAGGAAAATCCTGATCTAGACAATGAGTGAGAATGAAGACTCATATAGTGCTTATCATATTCCAGAGTCCTGTATAAGCACTTTACATATATGAAATCATCCTCACAACCCCTAAGAAGTACTATTACTATCCCCCATTTTATAGCTGGAGAAGCTGAGCTATTAAACAGCTTGCCAAATTAATAAAGCTTGTAAATGGCAGAGCTGGGATTTGAACCAGGGCAGTCTGTCTCCATGATTGGTGTTCTTGATGCCTATGCTATATTACTTCTTACTAGTATCTTTCTCAAAGATTCCATGATTAAATATGAGAAATTTAGTCTCAACTTTAATCATAAACCTTGTCTCATAAAACTAATCTTGGTATCCAAAATATTCTCCATTACAAGGCTTCCTTTGAGCAAGAATCCAGCTTACTGTGCATTTTAGCTAAGGGTGGGCAAGAGAATGACCTTGAATTCCCTTAGCAAGATGTAGATTTTTTTTTTTAAAAGACGAATGGAGATGAATTTCCCCCTCCACCGTCTCCTTCCTCCGGAATTTCACATTTACTGACTATCTGTCATGGGCCAGGAGCCAGACTAAGAAGTGGTGGTAAGGAGGTTGAAGTCACAGTTCCTGACACTAAAGACCTCAGAGTCAAGAATGAAATAAATATCTGTAACTCACAGAACATGTCCTGAGGCAGCCGTAGGACATTAATAAAGAAGAACTCAAAAATCCTTGGTTGTGAGAGTCAAGAAAAAAATCCTAGAGGAGGAACCTTTACCTATTAGAGGATGATCGCAGAAGGATTTACCCAGATAGACAAAATGGGGGAGGCCAACTTTGGCTAAGGTAGAACATATTCAAAAGCATGATGTGAGACAGCCCAGGATCCTTGGAGCCCCTCAAATATCAATAGCTGGCATGGCTGGCAGCTAGCAGGTATCACAGGCAGCAATGAAGATGTCTCAAAAGAAGAACAAGGGCTTGATAAGGGAAGTCTTTATACACTAAGGAGCTTGAATTTTATCCTTAGACAATGGAGAGTATCATAAATTACAGTATGGACCTAGCAAAGGCCAGCAGGAGTTAGAAGTGGAAAGGATGAACAATATTTATATTCCCAATTAATCATCAGTAATTGGGCATCTATAATTCAAGGCTAAGAATTAGAAGGAGTTGATCACCCTCACCATGATTCACTTTCCATGATAGCTCCTTAGAACTTCCTAGAGGACAAATAAAGGACCCTAGAGACTGATGGAACCATGAAGGCATAGACTCCTGGTATATACCATATTCACAGACCAGGAGGCAAACTGACATCCAGGGCAAGAAAACCTCACTCTCACTAAAGCTCAATTGTACCTGACACCTAAGCCATTACTGTTCACATAAGGAATGTGCTACTGGCCCTCTCAGTATTTAATTCCCTTTGCAGATACCTTTCAAGTAAACTTGGGTCCTGACCTTTCATTATTTTCTGTATTGTGGTCTAAATAGACTCTACCCTCCAAGTTTAAGGACCAATTAAATAACTGGGGCATTCATTAGGTTTGCCAAAAATTAATTATTTCAGCCATTAGTATTTGGAAAAAGAAGATGAATGCAGCCAAGAAAAGGTACAAAGCTCCTCTAGTACCAGTGAGAATGGAAAGGAAGGGACTATTATTGATCACTTTATATGGAGACAAATTCTCTGCTAGATTCTCTCTAGGAGTTAATTTCCCTTAATCCTCAAAGCAACCTGCTGAAGCAGGTATTATCTCATTTTACAGATGAGAAAACTGAGGCACAAAAATGTAAATATCATCCAATGAGTAGGTGCTGAAAAGATCCAAGCCCAGCTCTGCTTGACTGCAAAGCCTACACTACTACTTTTCATGCACACTTCGTCTTAAACGATTGGAAAAGATAAATGATTAAATGATTGAGTGCAAGAGTGTGCATGGGTGTGTGGAAAATTCCAGCATGATTATTTGGATACCAATGCTGATTAAATCACTAGCAATATTGTGGGGTTACTTTGGGTGACCACACCTGTAGAGCATTTTCAGCAGCTTTCTGTTCACTATCATTTTCCAGCTGAAGCTTTCAGGCTGAGCTGTCAGATCTCATCATTTAAGACACACACTTAGGAGGTTCTTATCATGCAAACAGGATTAATTGGCTCTTCTTCCCTTTGGCCTGGCTGTCTATATCTCTTGCTGGGTGATAAGATTCAATAAACTTGGGCTCTGAAAGAAATTGAGTTAGATTTTAGGAAATTATTACCCACCTACCTTCCCTCAAATATCTCCAAGTATTTGAGTCTTGTGTGAGAGAAACTCTCACCTGCTTTGCATGAGGAGCATCACACACTTGGCCTAGGGAGATGACACCATGCAGAGGGTGGCATTTCCAAGAGCACAACTGAACACAAACATGGTCTTATTAGCGTGTTTCAAATATTTAGCAAGATTAATGAAGAACTACATTTACATGCATAATGTCTGCAAGAATGTACCTTCTGTTATGAATGAACCTTGAAATTGTGAGGCGCCAAAGGCAAAGTTCTTCACTTGCCTTTACTGGTTCACATTCAATCATTTTGAAGATCCCAGAAACCCAAGGTGACACACTAAAACAAGAGCTCATGTGCTGGCACCTATGGGGAGAAAACTGACAACTCTGATAGCAGTGATTCCAGGATTCCATATGAGGGCTAGAGCTTATCCCTGTAGGTGCAGGATGAAGTGTTTGGGGCTTGTTTTGAATGTTCTGTTACTTTGATATGGTTGTTTGGATAGCAGAATTGTGTAAAGAGGTAATAATAATAACAACAACTTACAAAGAACATTCACCTCAAATCCTCTGTGAAACTAATCAGGCTATAAACAAAATGCAAATTACACGGAATATCACATTTAACCCACATAGCAACCTTGCTGTTGGGCATAATTATCTCCATTTAAATGATGATAACTCTGAAGCTTGGAGAAGACATGTGACTTGTCAAAATCCAAGGCTCTGACTAGAACCCAGACATATTGACTCCTAATATTTCTGTTCAAATGAGTGTTAAAGTGTGCACAGTATCTGGAACATAGTTATTATGCACAGAAATGAAAGCTGCTTGTGATCAAGCCTTGCTGTCCATGGTCTGTGGTCATAGATAACTGACTCTAAAAAGAAAAGCTGAATGGACCCTCAAGGACCACCTATTCTATCTCATCATTTTACAGGTGGAGGACAGGGTGAGGTTGAGTGCAGAGAATCACACAATGCCTTCTCACACTTTCTTTTCCTTTTAGGTCATGGGAAACAAGAAGAGTAAGAGTAGCCAGAGTTGTTTGACTACCCCAAAGCCATTCCCACTACTTTTTCCTCTTGCAACTTATTACAGGCTAAACAAAATAGAAACTCAATTTCCCAGCCTTCTTTAAAGATGAGAATGCCATGTGATCCCATCTTAGATGATCTAAAGTAGATCTACTGGAGAGATTTGGGAAAAGATATTCCTCCTATTAAAAGGAGACAGGCACATGGAAATTCCTCATGCCTCCTGCTTTTGGAGATGATGGGGATGAGGACATGCCTGCAGCTTTGGTAACCATCTTGCTACCTTTAGGGGAAACCCAGTGGAATTGCTGATACACTAACCTATCACCCTGACAACAGAGAGCTAATGAACCATCTTCAGAACCATCTAACACCAGACTTTTTTTTTTACTGGAACCATATGTGTCTTAAGGTTTAGGTCACTATTAGTTGGGTTTTCTGCTATCTGCTGTCTTAGACATCTTAATTGATATGGAGTAGCATCAGCAAACATTATGTATTGCCTTCCTCCTCTCTCTCTCAGTGTCCCAGAGGGACCCAGGATTCTGCAAACAGCTCTACAACATGGTAAACTCAATTAAAGCAAAGATAGTGTCTGTCTAGGTCATTGCTGTATTCTTGCAACTAGCAATGTGCCTGGCACATCGTAGGTGCCTAATGAATGTTGCTGATTAATTTTAATTAATCACTATATCCACAAACATTTATTGTGAACTTTTATAGAGTTCACTGAGATAAATGCTGATGAAAAAGAGATAAATAAGACATGCACTCTACCCTTAAAATAATTGCAGTTCAAGTGGAGGAGACAGATGTGGACCACAATTATGATACAGTGTGACAAGTACTATAACTACAAGTGTTACTAGAGCATGGAGGCAGGCAGTGGATGCAGTAGCTAATGCTGTAATGGGGACAGGTGTTTATCAGTCTTAGTGCTCAGTTCAAATAGCAAATATTTATTCGGCACCTACTTGTTGCACAACTATTCTTAGTAATAATTAAGAGTCATAAAAAAGCTAACCTTTGCAGTTCTTATAATGCACTAGTCACTGTTTTTGTGACTTACATATATTATCTACTTCTTCACAGCAGTCCTTTGCAGCAGGTACTCTTATTTTCCCCATTTTACAGACAAGAAAACTGAGATAGAGAAGGAGGAAATTAATTTCGACTGTGTCAAATCACACAGCTATTAAGTGGCAGAGTCAGAACTGAATCCAGGAAATCTGGCTCCAAAGACCATATTTTAATCAGTATATGAAAGACATGATCATTGTTTTCTAGGTATTTCCAGTCATTTGAGAATAATGGAAATAGATGTCTTCATCATTGCCCTGATTTCTATATTTGATCTAGACAGATATTTTCCTGGATTTTAATTCTAGTCAGGAACCTGGCACCAGCCCTGCTCTTAAGCGGTCATCCCTTTCTTGCAGAGCATACAAATAACCTAAAACATGACTACATTAATTTCTACCTTCATTTTAAATGTGGTCCACAAAGGACCAAGCCCAGGGTTGGGCTTAGAAAGTCTTTTCTGTCCGTGGAAAATGAGTTTAAAGACGCTTCCCACTAAAGACATTTTCTTTCCTTACAAAATGTGAGAAATGTGAAGTCTAATTACTTAGCTGTGCCAGATATGCTTTTTCAGCTTCTGCTAGACTCAGCTCAACACAAACTGTGCTTACCCTTGCATACACAATGAGCCTCATTAATTCCTTCTTCCTTCCAAGTGCGCTGAAGGAAAATGGTAACAAAACTGGGGGCAAATTCTTCTCTTTTTATTGTGCTATGTTAGAAGCTTCACCTCAAATCTGGCTCTTTTTACTTTACAAGGGCTGCCCTACTCTAAGCAGCTGGACAAGGGAGGTCAGAACTTACAGAAACTCTGTGACTCATATCATTGTTTCTCCTGCAACATACTACATCAAAGAGGACTCACTGAGGAAATCTGCAAAGAAATGGAGTAACACATGGAGCCACTGATGCATCCGCTCCCTCCCTTTCCCATTCTATTATCAATGCAAACACTGCCCTGTACTGTCTGAGGCCACAGCAGATACAATTGAGTGATAGTATGCTCTGAATATTATACCTTCCCAGGCATGTATATGCAGAACTATATATACACTTCATTATTTCACACCTAATGAATCTCAGATCATTTAACTACATCAAACATCTCCAGTGTGAGATTCCCCAAATTTCTTCATTTATCCACCTCAAGACCTAGTTGCCAGTGGTAGTTTTAAAAGCTGTCCACAAGTTCCTTGATACTCCTTATTTCAAGTGGTAGAGCCTGGTTCCCTTTCACTTGAGTGTGTCTCTACATAGGGAAGTACTTCTAACTAACAGAATGCAGTAGAAGTGAACATGTATGACTTCCACTAAATAATTTGTGACTTCCTTCAAGTCTAGGTCATTAAAGGATTTGAGATCTCTCTCTCTCTCCCTCTCTCTCTCTCTCTCTCTCTCACACACACACACACACACACACACACACACACACACACACACACACACACACATCACCTACTCTGGAGGAAGGCAGCTGCCATGTTGTGAGGGCTCTCAAGCAGCCCTATAGAGAGGTCCATGCAGAGTTCCTAAGGCCTCCCGCCAACAACCAGCAGTAACTTCTGTTGTGTGAGAGCAATCTATCTTGGATCCTCCAGCCTCAGTCAAACGTTTAGCTCCAGTCAACGTCTTAACTGTAGCCTCATGACAGAGCCCAAGCCAGACCACCCATACAAGCTACTTCTAGGTTCCTGACCCACAGCAACTGTTTGAGATAATAAATGCTTATAGTTTTATACTACTGCTTTTAGAATCATTTGTTAAGCAAAACTCATTAACATAATGCCAAGATAAAAAGGTAAATGACCTAAAACTAATGACATCTCATTTTGCAGACTTCCATCAGCAATAGTAATGCCCAAACATAATAAAATACCATGAATGATAAATAAGAAAATCATTGCTTTTACCTACTTTTTTTTTTTTTTTTGAGATGGAATCTTGCTCTGTCATCAGGCTGGAGTGCAGTGGCCCGATCTCAGCTCATTGCAACCACTGCCTCCCAGGTTCAAGTGATTCTGTTGTCTCAGCCTCCCGAGTAGCTGGGATTACAGGTGTGTGCCACCATGCCCAGCTAATTTTTATATTTTTGGTAGAGATGGGGTTTCACCATCTTAGCCAGGATACCTACTCCTTTTCATTGTTAACCCCACCTACTTTTTGAGTCCAATCTTTTCTGCTTCCTCCTGGTTTTTCCTCTATTATAGTAATTTGGATTTCAACCTCTCACTCCCTCTGTCTTTGACTTTTTGCTTACAAACATATAAACACCTCTTTTATCCTCAAACAACAAAAACAACCATCAGAAAATAAAACTCTATTCAGGCTGGCTACTCCTGCATTTTTCTGCCTTTTTTTTTCCCCTCACCTTTTATACCTCCTCTGTCTCAGCTACCTCTACTCCCTCATAGCTACTTCCATTTGAGCACTCCCCCACCACACCCTCCCACACACACGTCATCAAGGACACTTCCGATGGCCTCTCAGACTGATTCTCCCTCGACCTTTAAGGCCTCTTTTCCTGGCTTTGCCCACTTCACTTCTGGTCCTCTCCTAGCTCCTTTGTGGTTCCACCTCTTTGTGTTGTTTTGTGTTGTTTTGTGTTGTTTTTTTCCTCGCTGAATTAAATGCTCTACTTCTCAAATTCTCTTTAAAAGCATAAGAGCCCTTTTCCATAGGAGATGCTCACTGTGTACCTCAAACTGGTATTGAAGGTCCTGGTCCTAAGGTCGATTTCCTTCCTTGGACATGTTGGCTTCAACTCCAGCTTATTATTCCAGCTTTGAGTCCCTCTTCATTTCTAGGATCTCAAGATATCCCTGGCCTGCTTGGAGCACTGCTCTGTATTTTGGTAAATGTGTTACTATTGAGGGGCATTTCTATACATCATGGGGGACGGGCATGTGGGCCCCCTTGAGCAGATCAGTCCACTCTTTTGCAGACCACTTGCCCGCTCTATCTCATGCTTTAGACATATGCCTACTTGACTTATCCCTGCCCCTATCTGTAGAGTCCCTGAGGGCAGTGGCTCTGTTTTATTTTTCTTTAGTCATTTCTCACATGGGGCTTTCACCCCAGGAGTGTCTAGATGGGTAGAAAAAAATCAAATATTAAGTATCTTAATTTCTCTTTTGAACAAACCTATCAAGCCTAATAACAACTTGTTTCTCTCTCTCTCTCCCTTTTTCTATTCAATGCCCCAAGGAACCTCCAGTGCCCTCAATATGCACAAAAAAGTTCTGGGAAACCAGAGTAAGTGGAGAGCATAGAACCAGAGCAGAACGTAGCCTCAGGAAGAATTCTTTTTTGTCTGGTATAATCACTAGTTCTGATTACTTTTCTGGTTCCTGATTTTAAAAAGGTAGGTTGTATCTAAAATTAAAAGTAGATTACTCCATTTTTGTGCATCATAAATATAAAATGAGAGAAATTTTCCACATGCCTAGGCTTTTTTTCCATTAGAAAATAATAAACCAAATTTAATTGGTGGTTAATATCTAAATACAGACAACCAGAGCTTACATGAAATCTGATTATTTTTTAAAAATCAGAAATTCCTAATCAGATGCCCATTTCTAATCACAAACACATTCAGGAACAGACATCACTTTTTCTCTATATTTACAAATCTAAGTGTCATTTCACCTATGCATCCTTTTCTAAACAATTTTTCAAATTTTCTGTTTGGATTGTAGTGGAATGGGGGGAACTGAGAGTAACCACTTTAGTCACCTTTGCTCAGTCCCATGTTCAGAAACATTTAGCAATTTTTCCCTCTTAAGGCTCTTCCACAGCTTCCTCAGGAGCTATCAAATCATTGATATTCATGAGCAACCACTGTGACAGTTTAGTAAATAAATCCAACAACGAATCCATCTCTCCTGTCATATGGGATAAAAATTCTTCAGAGGCTTTATCTGTGCAATTTAGAGCTCTAGGCTCAAAGTATGTGGTAATTTTATTTCATGAAGGCCCCAGGCAGTGAAGTATTTATTTTACACTGTTGGACCTCATAAATGATACGGCATAACCTGTTCTTGTGTTTATCTTTTTGCAAATGAGTGACACAATATGGGGATGCCACCTGCTTCATGGTGGGGAGAAAAGGTGGGGAAACAGGAGGAAAGAAGTAAAGGATTAATTAGTTAATATCCATAAAATACTTTACAGTTGGAGGGTGATTTGCAAGCATGAATTTTCATTATGGTTCCCTGCTCTCCTTGGTGCCTGCTAGAAAGGCAAATACAAATAGGATAATTTATTGGAATGAGAAGCAACAGTCTAACTTGTCACTTAGATGCTTTGATTTTGGAAAGTAAAGTTCTCTGTGGCTTTTTTGGTGATGGGAAGATTTACCCCCACCTCATCTCTCTGTGGGAGAGATAAGGAATTTGTATTCTTCATAGCACGAAGTAGGGGACCCTATGAAAACCTTGTAGTCTCTTATGAAATCTTCAAGAGCTTATGACTATCACTGGATTCTATTGCCATGACATATTCTTTTTTTTTTTTTCTTATGTCATTTTCTTTTTTTTTATTATTATTATACTTTAAGTTTTAGGGTACATGTGCACAATGTGCAGGTTAGTTACATATGTATACATGTGCCATGCTAGTGGCTCCACCCACTAACTCGTCATCTAGCATTAGGTATATCTCCCAGTGCTATCCCTCCCCCCTCCCCCAACCCCACAACAGTCCCCAGAGTGTGATGTTCCCCTTCCTGTGTCCATGTGTTCTCATTGTTCAATTCCCACCTATGAGTGAGAACATGCGGTGTTTGGCTTTTTGTTCTTGCGATAGTTTACTGAGAATGATGATTTCCAATTTCATCCATGTCCCTACAAAGGACATGAACTCATCACTTTTTATGGCTGCATAGCATTCCATGGTGTATATGTGCCACATTTTCTTAATCCAGTCTATCATGGTTGGACATTTGGGTTGGTTCCAAGTCTTTGCTATTGTGAATAGTGCCGCAATAAACATACGTGTGTATCTGTCTTTATAGCAGCATGATTTATAGTCCTTTGGGTATATACCCAGTAATGGGATGGCTGGGTCAAATGGTATTTCTAGTTCTAGATCCCTGAGGAATCGCCACACTGACTTCCACAATGGTTGAACTAGTTTACAGTCCCACCAACAGTGTAAAAGTGTTCCTATTTCTCCACATCCTCTCCAGCACCTGTTGTTTCCTGACCTTTTAATGATTGCCATTCTAACTGGTGTGAGATGGTATCTCATTGTGGTTTTGATTTGCGTTTCTATGATGGCCAGTGATGGTGAGCATTTTTGCATGTCTTTTTTGGCTGCATTAATGTCTTCTTTTGAGAAATGTCTGTTCATGTCCTTTGCCCACTTTTTGATGGGGTTGTTTGTTTTTTTCTTGTAAATTTGTTTGAGTTCATTGTAGATTCTGGATATTAGCCCTTTGTCAGATGAGTAGGTTGAGAAAATTTTCTCCCATTTTGTAGGTTGCCTGTTCACTCTGACGGTAGCTTCTTTTGCTGTGCAGAAGCTCTTTAGTTTAATTAGATCCCATTTGTCAATTTTGGCTTTTGTTGCCATTGCTTTTGGTGTTTTAGACATGAAGTCCTTGCCCATGCCTATGTCCTGAATGGTATTGCCTAGGTTTTCTTCTAGGGTTTTTATGGTTTTAGGTCTAACATGTAAGTCTTTAATCCATCTTGAATTAATTTTTGAATAAGATGTAAGGAAGGGATCCAGTTTCAGCTTTCTACATATGGCTAGCCAGTTTTCCCAGCACCATTTATTAAATAGGGAATCCTTTCCCCATTGCTTGTTTTTCTCAGGTTTGTCAAAGATCAGATAGTTGTAGATATGCGGCGTTATTTCTGAGGGCTCTGTTCTGTTCCATTGATCTATATATCTGTTTTGGTACCAGTACCATGCTGTTTTGGTTACTGTAGCCTTGTAGTATAGTTTGAAGTCAGGTAGTGTGATGCCTCCAGCTTTGTTCTTTTGGCTTAGGATTGACTCGGTGATGCGGGCTCTTTTTTGGTTCCATATGAACTTTAAAGTAGTTTTTTCCAATTCTGTGAAGAAAGTCATTGGTAGCTTGATGGGGATGGCATTGAATCTATAAATTACCTTGGGCAGTATGGCCATTTTCACGATATTGATTCTTCCTACCCATGAGCATGGAATGTTCTTCCATTTGTTTGTATTCTCTAATTTCATTGAGCAGTGGTTTGTAGTTCTCCTTGAAGAGGTCCTTCACATCCCTTGTAAGTTGGATTCCTAGGTATTTTATTCTCTTTGAAGCAATTGTGAATGGGAGTTCACTCATGATTTGGCTCTCTGTCTGTTATTGGTGTATAAGAATGCTTGTGATTTTTGTACATTGATTTTGTATCCTGAGACTTTGCTGAAGTTGCTTATCAGCTTAAGGAGATTTTGGGCTGAGACAATGGGGTTTTCTATATATACAATCATGTCGTCTGCAAAGAGGGACAATTTGACTTCCTCTTTTCCTAATTGAATAGCCTTTATTTCCTTCTCCTGCCTAATTGCCCTGGCCAGAACTTCCAACACTATGTTGAATAGGAGTGGTGAGAGAGGGCATCCTGTCTTGTGCCAGTTTTCAAAGGGAATGCTTCCAGTTTTTGCCCATTCCAGTTTTTGCCCATTCAGTATGATATTGGCTGTGGGTTTGTCATAGATAGCTCTTATTATTTTGAGATACGTCCCATCAATACCTAATTTATTGAGAGTTTTTAGCATGAAGCATTGTTGAATTTTGTCAAAGGCCTTTTCTGAATCTATTGAGATAATCATGTGGTTTTTGTCTTTGGTTCTGTTTATATGCTGGATTACATTTATTGGTTTGCGTATATTGATCCAGCCTTGCATCCCAGAGATGAAACCCACTTGATCATGGTGGATAAGCTTTTTGATGTGCTGCTGGATTCAGTTTGCCAGTATTTTATTGAGGATTTTTGCATCAATGTTCATCAAGGATATCGGTCTAAAATTTTCTTTTTTGGTTGTGTCTCTGCCCAGCTTTGGTATCAGGATGATGCTGGCCTCATAAAATGAGTTAGGGAGGATTCCCTCTTTTTCTATTGATTGGAATAGTTTCAGAAGGAATGGTACCAGTTCCTCCTTGTACCTCTGGTAGAATTTGGCTGTGAATCCATCTGATCCTGGACTCTTTTTCGTTGGTAAGCTATTGATTATTGCCACAATTTCAGCTCCTCTTATTGGTCTATTCAGAGATTCAACTTCTTCTTGGTTTAGTCTTGGGAGAGTGTATGTGTTGAGGAATGTATCCATTTCTTCTAGATTTTCTAGTTTATTTGCATAGAGGTGTTTGTAGTATTCTCTGATGGTAGTTTGTATGTCTGTGGGATCGGTGGTGATATCCCCTTTGTCATTTTTTATTGCGTCTATTTGATTCTTCTCTCTTTTTTTCTTTATTAGTCTTGCTACTGGTCTATCTATTTTGTTGATCCTTTCAAAAAACCATCTCCTGGATTCATTAAGGGTTTTTTGTGTCTCTATTTCCTTCAGTTCTGCTCTGATCTTAGTTATTTCTTGCCTTCTGCTAGCTTTTGAATGTGTTTGCTCTTGCTTTTCTAGTTCTTTTAATTGTGATGTTAGGGTGTCAATTTTGGATCTTTCCTGCTTTCTCTTGTGGGCATTTAGTGCTATAAATTTCCCTCTACACACTGCTTTGAATGTGTCCCAGAGATTCTGGTATGTTGTGTCTTTGTTCTTGTTGGTTTCAAAGAACATCTTTATTTCTGCCTTCATTTCGTTATGTACCCAGTAGTCATTCAGGAGCAGGTTATTCAGCTTCCATGTAGTTGAGCAGTTTTGAGTGAGTTTCTTAATCCTGAGTTCTAGTTTGATTGCACTGTGGTCCGAGAGATAGTTTGTTATAATTTCTGTTCTTTTACATTTGCTGAGGAGAGCTTTACTTCCAAGTATGTGGTCAATTTTGGAATAGGTGTGGTGTGGTGCTGAACAAAATGTATATTCTATTGATATGGGGTGGAGAGTTCTGTAGATGTCTATTAGGTCCACTTGGTGCAGAGCTGAGTTCAATTCCTGGGTATCCTTGTTAACTTTCTGTCTTGTTGATCTGTCTAATGTTGACAGTGGGGTGTTAAAGTCTCCCATTATTAATGTGTGGGAGTCTAAGTCTCTTTGTAGGTCACTCAGGACTTGCTTTATGAATCTGGGTGCTCCTGTGTTGGGCGCATATATATTTAGGATAGTTAGCTCTTCTTGTTGAATTGATCCCTTTACCATTATGTAATGGCCTTCTTTGTCTCTTTTGATCTTTGTTGGTTTAAAGTCTGTTTTATCAGAGACTAGGATTGCAACCCCTGCCTTTTTTTGTTTTCCATTTGCTTGGTAGATCTTCCTCCATCCTTTTATTTTGAGCCTATGTGTGTCTCTGCATGTGAGATGGGTTTCCTGAATACAGCACATTGATGGGTCTTGACTCTTTATCCAATTTGCCAGTCTGTGTCTTTTAATTGGAGCATTTAGGCCATTTACATTTAAAGTTAATATTGTTATGTGTGAATTTGATCCTGTCATTATGGTGTTAGCTGGTTATTTTGCTCGTTAGTTGATGCAGTTTCTTCCTAGTCTCGATGGTCTTTACATTTTGGCATGATTTTGCAGCGGCTGGTACCGGTTGTTCCTTTCCATGTTTAGTGCTTCCTTCAGGAGCTCTTTTAAGGCAGGCCTGGTGGTGACAAAATCTCTCAGCATTTGCTTGTCTGTAAAGTATTTTATTTCTCCTTCACTTATGAAGCTTAGTTTGGCTGGATATGAAATTCTGGCTTGAAAATCCTTTTCTTTAAAAATGTTGAATATTGGCCCCCACTCTCTTCTGGCTTTTAGAGTTTCTGCCGAGAGATCCGCTGTTAGTCTGATGGGCTTCCCTTTGTGGGTAACCCTACCTTTCTCTCTGGCTGCCCTTAACATTTTTTCCTGCATTTCAACTTTGGTGAATCTGACAATTATGTGTCTTGGACTTGCTCTTCTCGAGGAGTATCTTTGTGGCGTTCTCTGTATTTCCTGAATCTGAATGTTGGCCTGCCTTGCTAGATTGGGGAAGTTCTCCTGGATAATATCCTGCAGAGTGTTTTCCAACTTGGTTCCGTTCTCCCCGTCACTTTCAGGTAAACCAGTTAGATGTAGATTTGGTCTTTTCACATAGTCCCATATTTCTTGGAGGCTTTGTTCATTTCTTTTTATTCTTTTTTTCTCTAAACTTCCCTTCTCACTTCATTTCATTCATTTCATCTTCCGTCACTGATACACTGATATCCAGTTGATCACATCAGCTCCTGAGGCTTCTGCATTCTTCACATAGTTCTCGAGCCTTGGCTTTCAGCTCCATCAGCTCCTTTAAGCACTTCTCTGTATTGGTTATTCTAGTTATACATTCTTCTAAATTTTTTTCAAAGTTTTTAACTTCTTTGCCTTTAGTTTGAATTTCCTCCTGTAGTTCGTAGTTTGATCATCTGAAGCCTTCTTCTCTCAACTCGTCAAAGTCATTCTCCGTCCAGCTTTGTTCCATTGCTGGTGAGGAACTGCGTTCCTCTGGAGGAGGAGAGGTGCTCTGCTTTTTAGAGTTTCCAGTTTTTCTGCTCTGTTTTTTCCCCATCTTTGTGGTTTTATCTACTTTTGGTTTTTGATGGGTTTTTGGTGTGGATGTCCTTTCTGTTTGTTAGTTTTCCTTCTAACAGACAGGACCCTCAAATGCAAGTCTGTTGGAGTTTGCTAGAGGTCCACTCCAGACCCTGTTTGCCTGGGTATCAGCAGCGGTGTTTGCAGAACAGCGGTTTTTCATGAACCACGAATGCTGCTGTCTGATCGTTCCTCTGAAAGTTTTGTCTCAGAGGAGTATCCGGCCGTGTGAAGTGTCAGTCTGTCCCTACTGGGGGGTGCCTCCCAGTTAGGCTGCTCAGGGGTCAGGGGTCAGGGACCCACTTGAGGAGGCAGTCTGCCCGTTCTCAGATCTCCAGCTGCATGCTGGGAGAACCACTGCTCTGTTCAAAGCTGTCAGACAGGGACATTTAAGTCTGCGGAGGTTACTGCTGTCTTTTTGTTTGTCTGTGCGCTGCCCCCAGAGGTGGAACCTACAGAGGCAGGCAGGCCTCCTTGAGCTGTGGTGGACTCCACCCAGTTTGAGCTTCCCAGCTGCTTTGTTTACCTAAGCAAGCCTGGGCAATGGCAGGCGCCCCTCCCCCAGCCTCGCTGCCGCCTTGCAGTTTGATGTCAGACTTCTGTGCTAGTGATCAGCAAGACTCCGTGGGCATAGGACCCTCTGAGCCAGGTGTGCGATATAATCTCCTGGTGTGCCGTTTTTTAAGCCCGTCGGAAAAGTGCAGTATTCAGGTGGGAGTGACCCGATTTTCCAGGTGCCGTCTGTCACCCCTTTCTTTGACTAGGAAAGGGAACTCCTTGACCCCTTGAGCTTCCCGAGTGAGGCAATGCCTCGCCCTGCTTCACCTTGCGCATGGTGCGCTGCACCCACTGACCTGTGCCCACTGTCTGGCACTCCCTAGTGAGATGAACCCGGTACCTCAGATGGAAATGCAGAAATCACCCGTCTTCTGCCTCGCTCACGCTGGGAGCTGTAGACTGGAGCTGTTCCTATTCGGCCATCTTGGCTCCTCCCCCTGCCATGACATATTCTTTACTCATCTATGCATATTTGTATGTTTTTCTTTTGGGAGAACAATCAGGTCACTTACAGAAGGGTGTTGGAACCTGAAATTCTACTCTTATGTAACTAATAGAATATCCTACATGTTTCCACCATAATTCCATGCACTAGAATGTTCATGGCAGCAGCATTTGCAATAGCCCCTCACTAGAAACTGCCCAAATGCCCAATGAGTGTTGAAAAGACAAGTAAATTTTGGTATACCCACACAATGGAATACTGTACAGCAATGAGAATAAGTGACCTCTAACTTTATAAATCCAATGCAGAATATATATCTCACAGATATAAGAAAAATGAAGCCAAACACAAAAGAGTACATAGGTATGATTCCATTTACATAAAGAACAAAAAAGAAGGGAGAACTAATCCATACTGTACTGCTGAGGTTAGTGGTTCATCTTGGAGGGTGGGCAGTGATTGGAAGGGCTCTTGAACTGCTGACATTTTTCTGTTTCTTGATCTGGGTGTTGTTGCATAGGTGTATTCAGGTTGTGGGAATTCACTGAGCTGCATGCTTGGGATCTGTGCACTTTTTAAACAACAAATGTCAATAAAAGATTTAATAAACAGTAGTATTAATTGATTCACTAATATTAGTTTAGCTAGGTTTCAAGTTGCTAGATACCCCTTATTTCGGGTGTGTAACTTGCTTAGAATAGCAAAGCATTTGCTAGATATATTTGGCAAAAATGATATAAACTGGGAGATTTTTGTGAAATTCAAGGAGTTTTTCAAAAAACCTAAGTTAGTGGATAAGTGGGTAACATGCTTCCATCCTTTTCATTTCCTACCTAGCAATCCATTGATGAAATAAAATAAGGCACCCTCAGACTTCTGCTTAGCATATTACTAACCACACACAATATATTGAAAAGCACACCAGACAAAATATCTACAGAATGTTTTCCCTTACAGAGGAAATGCTGAAAATGACCATTGGAATTTAAATTTAGCAACTAAATAACAAAATATAATGCAACTCTCACATAAATATATGCCATTCACTTTCAGAAGATAACACTGGAAAATCTTGCCTTTATTTAAGTTTTTTTCACTTAACTTACTTTCTTTCCCCGACCTCTCTTTGAAGTATCATGGTGCTAAAAAATTGCAACATGACTTAATTGTGTTCTTGAGGGGCTTGAGAGAAACATACAGTGGGCTCGGTATGAATTTAATTAATGAAGATAGGTGGTGGAGGGTTAGGAACTACTTGTAAAAGCTGAAATCCAGCAAATGAACTGATGTATCCAATTTGATTACTTTGCCAGAATATATAGTCCCAATCCCAAACTCCAGTGGTGAAGAGCAATAGAAAGAGTCACTTTTGTAAATCAAAGACATAAGATTAGGCTTACGTCTATTTCTGCCAGCTTTTGTAAACCAAAACACCATCCAGGCTATTTGTCAAGTGAAAAGACCTCCCCTGGCATTAGACATATCTGTGAAACATTGCTACACACATGTTGCACCTCAACCAATGTTAAGCATATTTTAACTTTATTTGTTCTCCTTTTTCATAGTATAAAGTCATAGATTCCTAGAGTAAAGAAAAAGCAAAGCCACAGATCCAGATACGGAACTTATCCCAGGAGTATATGATAGTCTCCTCCACAACATCCCAGGATTCCTCTTGATGAAAGCACTCATCCAAGTGACAGTTCCTCAAATATTTGAAGTTTGTAAAGTTCAGGCACTGTTCTAGACTTCCATGATACAGCAATACACAGAGCAGACTAAAACTACTGCCCTTGTAAAATATACATTCCAGCTAGGTAAGAAAATAATGAACAATAAATTTAGTAAATATGTATATTATATAGTATATCAAAAGGTGACAAATTCTGTGTAACAAAACCAACAACACAGCAGGTAAAGATGTCTAGAGAATGCAGGATCATAGGGGGAATGAGAGCAGGTTGCAACTTTCAATATCTTGGTCATGGTCTCAGGTCTTACTGCAAAGATCAGTCTCATCCTTGATGAACATTTGAAGACTTTAATGAGGTTTTCGAAACTTTCAGTTGGATGGGCTCTCTTTCTCAGCATCAGGCAGGCTTGTCTTAAGAAATTGCCTGAATCTAATCCATAAACAAATAATTGCTTATGTCTTAAAAGTTGTACACCATATGGCCAGGATAATACTGGCTCATGTGATCCTCAAAGCAGGTGTTACCAATTGCCCACTGTGGCCATAGAAATGTCTCAATAAAGCTTCTCAGTAACCAAATAAATCGACTAGCTTCCTGGGGTTATGAAATTGAACCAATTACATTTAAAAGACATCTGCCAAAAATAATGCTCTCCATTTCTGAGTGGTTGATAATTATGCCATTGTTTCCAGTAATAATCAGATAGCAGGACAAATTGTCTTTTGAGACCTCTTCTGGTTCTGAACAATCAGATCAAATCATCCATGAAGAAGAAATTTCCCTCCTATTCTCAATGGCCTAAATGGCAATCATCCACAAGCATTCACATCATTAACTTATGAATTAAAAATAAGGAGGGACATCCAAGGTGACTTTAAGGTCATTGTCTAGCCTGTTCCTAACTCTTGGTTTATTTACCACCCTATTCCCTTCACCTGGTGAACCTGATGCGTCAATCTAAAGAGGGTGCTTCTATTTTTTAATACTCTTCAGGTATTTTCCCCACTGCTCCATTGTTCCAACCATCCTCCATTCCAGAAAGATCGCGCTTTTCCCCTAAGTCCAATCCTCATTTCAAAGCCTCCTGATGTTTTTTCTCTTTTGCGAGGCTGTCTCTGAATCTTCACCCTCCCAGCCATTTCTCTTGTCTTTGCCCCCTGAAGCATTTATATAGTGTCTGCACTATTGCCTGGCATCAGCCACAGACTGCTTCACAGAGTTAATTACATTTTAAATCTATGCCCTGTTTCCCTGGTGATATTTAAGACCCTCAAGGGCTTTATATTTCTGGTTCTTAGCCCAGATTCCTTCACCTGTTAAGCTCTTAACGGATGGTCATGAAAATAGCAGTAGTGGAAATAATAAGTTTTCAGACAATAGGCAGAAATTTTAGACCTTCCTCAAATGGTCCTTAAATGGTCTTTGGAGTGAGACACAGAAAGTTTCCAGTTGTCCAGTCATGCCACCGAGTTTTTGCATGCACAGGCAATGACAATTACGTTATGACTGTGACCTGGCTGTCCACAATTATAAGATATCATTAATTTTTTTTTCTTAAGATGGAGTTTAGCGTTTGCTGCCCAGGCTAGAGTGCAATGGCATGATCTTGGCTCACTGCAACCTCCGCCTCCTGGGTTCAAGCAATTCTTCTGCCTCAGACTCCCTAGTAGCTGGGATTACAGGCACCTGCAACCACGCCTAGCTAATTTTTGCATTTTTAGTAGAGATGGGGTTTCACCATGTTGGCCAGGCTGGTCCTGGACTCCTGACCTCAGGTGATCTACCTGCCTTGGCCTCCCAAAGTGCTGGGATTACAGGTGTGAGTCAACGTGCCCAGCCAGATATCATCAATTTTAAGCCACAGACTATTTCCAGAGATGTGAAAATGTGGAGAAAGAATGTGCTCCCTAAATTAGATTAAATACTGTGGGAAGTGGGGAAGAGTGAGGTAAAATGACAACACAACCACTCATTTATGGTCAGGAGAGCCACACAAATAAAAGTACTAAGAAGTACCACTATTGGGAGTCCTCTGTGTGTCAAACCTTGTGCTAGGTGCTTCACACACAGCACCTCTAGTCCTCCCTCCAGCCCTGCAAGACAGATTTCATATCCCCATTCACAATGGAGGAAACAAAGTGCAGAGAGATTAACTGACCACACACAAGGTCACTCAGGAAGGTCAGCAGGAGGATGCACTGTGAGCCTTTAAACACAAGTTCGTGGTGCTCTTTTCACTTCAATATGCTTCCTCATTCCTGAGATGTGAGTTGTCCCAGCAGCTGCCTCATGTTTTTTTTTGTTTGCAAGGAGCAACAGATATGAGAAGTGGACTAGATTTCACAAAACAATAAATATCACCATTTTCTTGCATGGGCGAGAAAACTGAGGCCCATGAATTTCTATAGCATACTTAAACCCACACAGTACATAAAAGGCAACACTCTGATCAAACTAAATTCTGGGGAACCCCAAAGCCTTCGTTCTTTTCATTACCTAACATCAAAGAGGAGAGAATTTTATGAAAGGAGAGGTAGTTTGGTGGTTACTGATTCTGCCATCTGTTCCCCCTGAGGCTTCAGGCTATCACCAAGTCTTAGAGCTGAAGCCCTGCACTTCCAGTCCTTTATGGGAATTTCCCAAGCCAGACCGTCAGAGCTAATGAAGTCTGACCTTGAGGATATAACTTCTTGTATTCAGAAATAAACAAACAAAGAAAGAAAAGGCTCTGTATATCAAAACATAGTGATGACAATAGTCAATATTTTGTATACTTTGAAGACAAGAAACATTATAATGTTAGTAAAATTTAGAAGTTAATAAATATCAAATTCCTGTAACATTCTTTCAAAAAGATGCATTAGTTTTAGAAGAGGCTAGAAACCTTTCTCGTCCTTAAAATTAGATGGTGACCTGCACAGACAGTTTAGAAGCAAGTTTTTATGACAATAGTTAGCAAAATTTGAAATGCGCATCTTTTGATGTAGCATTTCTACCTCTAGAAATGTATCCTTTGGATCAGTGTGCCAAGTCTAGATATCTAGATAGATATCTATCTGGGATATGTCCTTGGCAGTGTTGTTTGGCTAGCAAAAAGCTGGAAACAACCTAAATGCCTGTCAACAGAGGATGAATTAACTAAATCAGAGCACTTACAGTACTTACACACAATGGAATATTTTGCAGTTAGTGAAAACAAAAAGGTAGGTCTTTTTGTGCCAATATGGGAAAAGCTCTAAGACATACGTATTAGTTACCTACTGTCACAATAATGTTGCTTAACAAATAACTACCAACCTCAGTGGCCATACAACAATGTGTTCATTCCCCAAGCATCTGGGGTCAAATGTGGGTGGAGTAGCTAGTAGTCTTTGTTGATCTTTGTTGATCAACTCATATATCTGAATGTTGTTGGCAGGCTGTTGGCAGGCTTTTGGTGTGGGCTGGGGTGACTGGGATCACTCAGCTCTGCTCCATGTGCCTCATATACCCTGGCAGGCGAGCTGAGACAAATTCTTAATATGGCAGTAGAGGTTCAAGAGAGCAGCCCCAATGCACAACACTATTTCAAACCACTGCTCTTTCAATTCTGCTAACATCCCATTAGCCAAAGCATTTGACGTGGCTGAGCTCAATGCCAAATGATGGAGCAGGTCAACTACCCATGGTAGGAAAGCACTGCAAAGTTACAGGAAGGAGTGAAGAATTAGGGCCATCATTGCAGAGTGCCATGCCCTGTAAGTTGAGGAATCGTATTCTTTGATTGGTCCTATCACTATCCGTCTATTTACCTATGCATGAGCACATATATCTAGAAAATGTTTAGAAGGATGCCAAGAAGACTTATAATAGTGGTTATCTCTTGAGAATGTGCTTTTGTGGAGGTGGGTGGGATTGGTTTTTAAATCTATTTTCCAGTCTCCAAGACTGTATAATTCGTATGCTTACCATGGATAAAGATTAATTTTAAAATTTAAGAAATACTTTTCTATCGGTGTATCAGAGTTATGAGATCCCGAGTGATTGCGTGACTCTTTACAATTGGCTGATTTGGAACCCCAAATTTCTTCTGCCAATTGAGTCTCCTAAGCTCTGAGCAGTCCTCCAGATCCTTGTGCTAATGACTTGGACCCCAGCTTGGGAGGAACTTCTCTTTTGGAGGAAGAACTCATTAGTGAACAGGATAAATCACTCCAGACTTGTCTTGAACAAATTCTGCCAAGTGAAGTGAACCAAAGGGACTGAAATATGACACTTGTAATAGCCAGTGCTGCGGAAGCTTTCTTGGCCTGAAATTGAACACCCAACCTCTGTTCATTTTCAGCCACATTACAGATTGAGGTTGGCCAGAATCATCACAGAGTTTATTTTTCTTAAAATGTGATAGTGTCTGACTGCAGCTTTCTGTCAGGGATCCACATTGGCCTTCACAAAGCTAAAGGCTGCTTTCCCTTGACGGAGCAACAGAACTAACCACACACAAACAGATCATCCCCTGTCTGATGCAGCCTCAGGTATGTTATTGGTATTCTGTTATTGTCACATAATTTAATGCCCTGCCCAGAAGCCCTACAAAGCCACACCATATGCATGCATCAGATGCTGAGAAGTTGCACAATTAATGGCTTCCTACTTCCATTGAATTCTTCTACTAAAAATACTAAATCCAGATTTTAAATGTAGAAATCAATCCAAATTTAAATTTACTCAAGGATGTTGATGAATTATTGAATGTTTGGGGGATTAGAAAGTGGAAAAAATCCAATTAAATGAGCAAAAATATTTATGGATTTCCTTCCAGTAGAATAAAGCAATTCAAGAAAGTATGAACAACAAAATGAAAGTCTGCTTATTTAGTCAGCAAGAATTTAAAAGCCTGTTATGTGCCAGACACTGTTGTAGGCTCTGAGGATACCAAAGTAGGAATAAGATGTCTATGTCATAGAACTGACATTTTACTGGGTGAAAATGGACAGTAAACAAGAAACTAAATACATATATAAAATAATTTCAGATAATGATAAATGCTGTGAATAAAATTAGTAAGGTAGATGGTAATGGATGGAGGTGGAGCCAGGACCTAAGATGCGTAGTCAGGGAGGCTTCTGTAGAGAGATCACATTTGCTCTGAGACTCAAATAGTGAGAAAGCACGAGCTTTGTGAAGATTTTGGAAAAGAGGGCACACTGATGCAAAGATCCTAGGATTAGAGAATTTGGGGAAATATTAAAAATGCCCAAGAATATTAAATAAAAGGGCACTGGTGTGAAATAAGTTCAGAGAGATAGGAGGGGCTAGATTATGCGAAATCCTGGAGGCCATCAGTTTGACTGTTTGCCATCAAATAGGTTTTATCCCATTATACTCTGATCAGCACCTTTTACTAATATGAATATAGCTGTAAAGCAAAGCAAAACAAAAGTAGATCTTCGGCATGTGCACTGAAAGTATCACTGTTCTTTCTTTTCTATAACATTTTTGTTACTAAAGTGTGTGTTACCTTAAATTAGTAATAACAATATTGAGTACTTACTATGTGCCAGGCACTGTACTAGGGGTTTAGTAATATTTTCATTTCAATATTTAATTTGTATATTTTTATTTAATCTTCACAAATATCTAGCAATCATTCACAATAGCAAAGACATTGGAATTAACCTAAATGCCCATCAGTGACAGATTGAGTAAAGAAAATGTGGTACATATTCACCATGGAATACTACACAGCCATAAAAACAAGATCATGTCTTTTGTGGGAACATGGATGGAGCTGGATACTATTATCTTTGGCAAACTAACACAGGAAGAGAAAACCAAATACCACATTCTCACTTATAGAAGGGAATTCAATGACGAGAACTCATAAACACAAAGAAGGGAACAACAGACACCAGGGTGTACTTGAGGGTAGAGGGTGGGAGGAGCAAGAAGAGTAGAAAGATGACTGTTGGGTACTAGGCTTAATACCTGGGTAATGAAACAATTTATACAACAAACCCCCGTGATATGATGTTACCTATATAACGAACCTTCTCATGTACCCCCAAACCTAAAATAAAAGTTAAACAAAATATCCAGCAATGCATTATTTACCTTGTTTTACAGTGAATAATACAGACACTCAGTTGGAGTAATTTGCCAAAGTCATGTTGCTATTAAGTGCCCAAACTAATATTCAGTACATATATAATTTAGCTTCTGAATCCATAGACTGTTCATTCTTCATGAACATGCTGGTGCCAAATCAGCTGTTTCCTCATTCATTTGGCTTAGCTGCTGGTCTGATCTCAAAACAAATTAATCTTCACTAATGTTAATTAGCCTAGTTAAGAAAACATAGGCTATAATCATTTAAGGCAGTCTGCGACCCCTGGGCTGCAGAACAGTACTGATTGGTGGCCTGTTATGATCACCTAACAGCAGGAGGTGAGTGGCAGGTGTGTAAGCTTTACTGCCTGAACTCAGCTCCTGTCAGATCAGTGGCAGCATTAGAATCTCATAGGATCATGAACCCTATCATGAACTGCACATGTGGGATACACATTGCATGCTTCTTATGAGAATCTAATGCCTGATGATCTGAGGTTGAACAGTTTCAGCCCAAAACCATCCCTGCCCTCCAACCCCATACCATTCCATTGTCTTCCATAAAACCGGTCCCTGGTGACAGAAAGGTTGGGGAACACTGATTCTAGGAGAATAGTTAGTATATTTGAGCATCTATACGTACTGGGCATGGTGCTGCATATTTATGCAGTGATCAGGAGCACTTCTATATGTTGTTGATAATATAGCAATACTACAAGGTTACATATGAACAGCCAACAGTAAAAATTGTGAATATATAATTAAATTTGGAATTTCTAAACTGGATTAAACATGTTAGGGTATCCCAAAAAGGAGAGCACCTGGAAAGAGTGTGGCTTCGGACTCAAATAACATCTACTTAATAATGTGCAATTACTTGGCCTCTTCCATCCCTAGTTTCCTTATCTTACAGCAGAAGACAATAATGCTTACCGGGTCAACTCCCTGTGAGGCTTAGAGGTCATGCATGTAAGTCATGGCATAATGTTGACGTGTAGGATGGGAATATTAAAGTTCATTTTCTCTCTCCCTTCCCTATATTAGCTTTCCAAATGTTACCAGTCCTGGTTCTGAAATAGGCTAATTTTCTTCTTATTCTGGAAAGGAGCAGTACTCTTATCCTTTTCTCCATTTCTGATGCAAGAATAGTAAGAAGGAAAATACAATTTCACTTTCAACTATAGTGCCCTGCCATTGTATGGTTTCTCTGAAATGTTGGTTCACATAACGCCCACAAAGAATTATCTGACCAAGATTGCTCTTCAGAAAGAGTAAGTCTTTCTGGTGTAGCTTTCAGAGGAGGCCACTGGATGGGTGTCTTACATGTTGGTTGCATAACTACACTTCTTGCTTAGCTCCTCAGTTGATATATGTGTTTAAACTTTTGATTTGCATTCTGAGTATAAAAAATATTGAATTGTGCTGTTTTGAGATGAATTTATATTTTTAACACTAAGATTGGAAAAGCTGAATAAAGAAAGGCATTGTCCTTCACACCAACCTGAAGAAAGTGACAGTAGGGCCATAGGATTTTAGAGTTGGAAGAGCCCTGGAAAGGTAGCCAGGTCAATGCCTTTATTTTGCACTTGAGGGAACTGAGGGCTAAAGAGGGGATATAATTTTCATGACTTGGAAAAACATTGTTTATATACGTTTTTAAAAGTGTCATTTTCCATAAAAGCCTTCAGACATACTCAGTAATGAGGTCAGAGAATTTGTTGTGTTTACCACTCATCCCCAGCTCCTGGAAGACTTCCTGGAACACTTAATGGGCCCTCAAGAAATATTTGTTGAATGAAGGTAGAAATCTTCAACTCTGAGAGATTAAGTGCTATGCCTTATGATGGTTTCAAAGAATATTGGAGTACAAAGGTTTTAAAAGTTCATTTTTCAGTTAATAAAAGTAAGTTATAAAAAGATCAATATCTGAAGGGAATCTGCATAACCGCCATTGAGGATAGCTCTGCTTAGCCCTGCAGCCTCATTTTGCTCTGTTCTCTCCCATCAAACCTCTATGCCTAATATGGTTTGGCTCTATGTCCCCACTCAAATATCACCTTGAATTCTAATAATCCACATGTATCAAGGGCAGAACCAGGTGAAGATAACTGAATAATGGGGGCAGTTTCCCCATGCTGTTCTCATGATAGTGACTGAGTTCTCATGGGATCTGATGGTTTTACAAGGAACTTTTCCTCTTTTGCTCTGCACTTCTCTCTCCTGCTGCCATGGGAAGAAGGACATGTTTGCTTCCCCTTTCGTCATGATCGTAAGTTTCCTGAGGCCTCTCCAGCCATGTGGAGCTGTGAGCCAATTAAACCTTTTTCCTTTATAAATTATTCAGTCTCAGGCAGTTCTTTATAGCAGTGTGAGAATGGACTAATACAATGTCTCTACCACCCATCTCTTGCCTCCAGACCTGCTCTGACATCCTAGTTCAGCCTGGACCCAGGCTAAAGATCCATTGCTGCAGATGTGTCTGTCACCTGTTTAGTAGAACTGCTTTCCTGCAGGGCCAGGGGCACTGGGAACTGGCTTTGTAAAGAGGTACCAGTCTTTTTTCGTTAACATAAAGGTTCTTGCCTCTGTGAAATTTCACAGTGCAAACTTGCTCCACATAGCCCCAAAGCACCACTTTGGACCCATACAATTCATTGGTCCCTTTCAAGCCAGGAAAATAGATTTTCTTCTAGTGCACTAGAGGTCTGTTAACACATCATTATATATCACAATGGTTACCCTGCAGGTGTTTGTGGTACACAATCTAACTTGTACACCCAATTACAATTACAAACTGATGTTAAAATTCTTGCTGTGTATGTATCATGTCAGGATGCAGATTGGAAAGTTATTAAATAGGATTACATATATCCTTGTTTGCCTGGGACAGTCCTTGTGAATGCCCAACAAAATTATTAATCATGCCTCCTTCTACTGTCAAAAGGATCTAAGTTTGATAATAATCCTCATAACAAAAGATGCAGTCTAATCTGTGGTAGACATTAACTAATAGTACATTAAACATGGAATACAATGATGGAATACAGTGATTAAGAGCATGGACTTTGGGTCCAAAATCTTGTTTCACTAGTTATTGGCTAAGTGGTATTGAAAGGAGTTGCTTATCCTTCCTAAGCCTCAGTTTCTCAGCTGTAAACTGGGTATGGATAACAGTAACTACTTTGTTGGTTTGTTTTGAAGTTTATACAAGACAATATATGCAAAGCAGTTAGCACAATTCCTGGTACAAAATAAGTACTTCAGAATTGTTACCTTTAGTAATAAAAACATATTGATAGTTGCATTAAGAGATAAGTGCCTAATTTCATGGCCTGATTTTGCTCTTCTCTTTCAAGTCTAGGCTTTTCTTGGTGACCTTACCATGTTTTCCTTATAATAAAATATATCACAATATTGGTCTTCATGCCTCCTGAATGTTGTCTGATTTAAGAACTCAAAGCGACTTTTGGATCAGATGACACAGACCTCAATTTTGATCACTGTTGCAAGGTTACATGAAAGTAATTCTCAGTATATGATTTGTGGCTCAGTGCCAAGCTATGAAAGTCCAGATAATGGCCAGATAACTGATTCAAATATGCAAGTACTTTGTTTTACTGTTACAGATAAATGACACAAGACTTCATAGATTTCAGTTTAATAAAGAATTAAGAGTTCATTATGAATACTTCTAAGATTTATTATTTATTTCTTGGATTATTTAATCATTCGGTGTATACTGGTGCATTAACATAATTTTTGACTTATTTTCCAATTGATACTCAACACATATGTGCTGCAGTTGAGGTAGAAATCACCCATATACTTTTTTAATTTTTAATTTTTAACATTTCTGGTCACAGAGTAGGTATACATATTTATGGAGTACATGAGATATTTTGTTACAGGCATACAATGCATAACAATCACATCAAGATAAATGGGGTATCCATCCACATCAAGCATTTATCCTTTCTTTGTGTTACAAACAACTCAGCTATAGTCTTTTAGTTATTTTTAAATGTCCAACAAATTATTGTTAATTGTACTTGCCCCATTGTCCTATCAAATGCTAGATCTTATTTATTCTAGCTAACAATATTTTTGAACCTATTAATTATCGTGCCCCCTCCCCCACCACAATACCCTTCTAAGCCTATGGTAACTATTATTCTATCCTCTGTCTCCATGAGTTCAATTGTTTTAACTTTTACTTCCCACAAATAAGTGAGAACACGCAAAGTTTGTATTTCAGTGCCCGGCTTATTTCACTTAACATAATAACCTCTAGTTCTATCCATGTTGTTGAAAATGATAGCATCTCATTCTTCTTCACGGCTGCATAGTACTCCATGGTGCATAAGTACCACATTTTCTTTATCCATTCATCTAGTGATGGACATTTATGTCGCTTTCAAATCTTAGCTATTGTGAAGAGTATTGCAATTAACATGGGAGTGAAGATGTCTCTTCATATACTGATTTCCTTTCTTTCAGGTATATACCTAGCAGTGGGATTGCTGGATCATATGGTAGCTCTATTTTTAATTTTCTGAGGAATCTCCAAACTGTTCTTTGAAATGGTTGCACTAACTTACATTTCTACCGACAGTGTACAAGGATTCTTTTTTCTCCATATCCTCCCCAGCATTTGTATTGCCTATCTTTGGATAAAGGACATTTTAACTGAGGTGAGATTATCTCATTGTAGTTTTGATTTGCATTTCTCTGATGATCAGTGATGTTGAGCACTTTTTCATAGGCCTGTTTGCCATTTGTATGTCTTCTCTTGAGAAATATCTATTCAGATCTTTTGCCTATTTTTTATTGGATTATTAGATATTTTTTCTATACAGTTGCTTGAGCTCCTTATATATTATGGTTATTAATCCCTTGTCAGATTGGTAGTTTGCAAATACTTTCTGCTATTCTGTGGGTTGTCTCTTCACTTTGTTGATTGTTTCCTTTGCTGTGCAGAAGCTTTTTAACTTGATGTAGTCTCACTTGTCCATTTTTGCTTTGGTTGTCTGTGCTTGTAGTATATTACTCAAGAAATTTTTGCTCAGTCTAATGTCTTGGAGAGTTTCCCCAATGTTTTCTTATAGTAGTTACACATAGTTTGAGGTCTTAGATTTAAATATTTAGTCAATTTTGATTTGATTGTTGTATATGGTGAGAGATAGGGATATAGCTTTATTCTTCTGCATATGGATATCCATTTTTCCCAGCACCATTTATTCAAGAGACTGTATTTTCTCCAACATATGTTTTGGGCACCTTCATCAAAAATGAGTTCACTGTAGATGTATGGATTTGTTTCTGGGTTTTCTATTCTGTTCCATTGGTCTGTGTGTCTGTTTTATGCCAGTGCCATGCTGTTTTGGTTACTATAGCTTTGTAGTATAATTTGAAGTCAAGTAATGTGATTCCTCCAGTTTTGTTCTTTTTGTTCAGGATAGCTTTGGCTATTCTGGGTCTTTTTATAAATTTTAAGATTCTCTTTTCTATTTCTGCAAAGAATGTCATTGGTATTTTGATAGAGGTGGCACTGAATCTGTAAATTGCTTTGGGAAATATGGACATTTTAACAATATTGATTCTTCTATTCCGTGAACATGGAATATCTTTCCATATTTCTGTGTCATCTTCCATTTCTTTCATCATTCTTTTATAGTTTTCATTGTAAAGATATTTTACTTTTTTGGTTAAGTTCATTCCTGGGTATTTTATTTTATTCATAGCTATTATAAATGAGACTAGTTTTTAAATTTCTTTTTCAGATTGGTCACTGTTGGCATATAGAAATGCTATTATTTTTGTATGTTAATTTTGTATCCTGCAATTTTACTAAATTTGTTGATCAGTTCTAATAGGTTTTTGGTGGAATCTTTAGATTTTTACAAATATGAAATCATATAATCTGCTAACAAGGATAATTTGACTTCTCTCATTCTAATTTGGGTGCCTTTTTTTTTCTATTGTCTGATTGCTCTAGCTAGGAATTCCAGCATTATATTGAATAATGGTGGTGAAAATGGGTATCCTTGTCATGTTCCAGATCTTAGAGAAAAGGCTTTTAGTTTTTCCTCATTCACTGTGATACTAGCTGTGGGTTTGTCATATGTGGCTTTTATTGTGTTGAGGTATGTTACCTCTATACCGAGTTTTTTGAGGGTTTTTGTCATGAAGGGATGTTGAATTTTATCCAATGCTTTTTCAGCATCAATTGAAATGATCATATGGTTTTTGTCTTTCATTCTGTTGATATGATGTATCACATTGATTGATTTGCATATGTTGAATTGTCCTTGCATCTCTGGGATAAATCCCACCTGGTTATAATGAATGATCTTTCTAATGTATTGTTGAATTTGGTTTGCTAGGATTGTGTTGAGGATTTTTCCATCAATGTTTATCAGGGGTATTGGCTTATATTTTTCTTTCTTTGATGTGTCTTTGTCTGGTTTTGGTATCAGGATAATACTGACTTTATTGAATTAGTTTGAAAGTATTCCTCTGTACTCTATTTTTTGGGAGAGTTCGAGTAGGATTGGTGTTAGTTCTTTTTTAAATATTTGGTAAAAGTCAGCAGTGAAGCCATTGGGTCCTGGGCTTTCTTTTGCTGGGAGACTTTTTATTATGGCTTTGATCTTGTTACTTGCTATTGGTCTGCTCAGGTTGTATGTGTCTAAGAATGTATCCATTTATTCTAGGTTTTCCAATTTATTGGCATATAGTTGATTATAGTAGCCTCTAAGGATTCTTTGCATTCTGTAGTATCAGTTGTAATGTCTCCTTTTTCATCACTGATTTTAAAAAATTTATTTGGATCTTCTCTCTTTCTCTTAGAGTGGCTAAGGTTTTGTCCTTTTTTTTTTATCATTGCAAAATACCAACTTTTTGTTTCATTAATGTTTTGTGGTGTTTTCTTCATTTTAATTAATTTATTTCTGCTCTGATTATTATTATTATTATTATTTTGAGATAGAGTCTTGCTCTGTTGCCCAGGCCGGAGTGCAGTGGTGTGATCTCGGCTCACTGCAAGCTCTGCCTCCTGGGTTCACGCCATTCTTCTGCCTCAGCCTCCTGAGTAGCTGCTACTACAGGTGCCTGCCACCATGCCCGGCTAATTTTTTGTATTTTTAGTAGAGACGTGGTTTCACCGTGTTAGCCAGGATGGTCTCGATCTCCTGACCTCGTGATCCGCCTGCCTCGGCTTCCCAAAGTGCTGGGATTACAGACTCTGCTCTGATTATTTATTATTCTTTTTCTACTAATTTTGGGTTTGCTTTGCTCTTGCTTTTCTAGTTCTTTGATGCATCGTTAAGTTGTTTATTTGAAGTTTTTCTTCTTCTTTGATGTAGGCACTCAAAGCCAAAACTTCTCTTAGTATTGCTTTCACTGTATTCCATAGGTCTTGGTATGTTTTGTTTTCATTATGATTTGTTTCAAGAAATTTTTCCATTTCCTTCTTAATTTCTTCATTGACCAACTGGTCATTCAGGAGTATATTGTTTGATTTCAATGTGTTTGTATACTTTCCAGACTTCTTCTTGTTATTTATTTCCAGTTTTGTTCCACTGTGGTCAGAGAAGATATGTAATATTATTTCAATTTGTTGAATGTTTCATGACTTGCTTTGTGAAGTAACATATGATCTATCCTTGAAAATGATCCATGTGCTGAGGAGAACAATGTGTATTTTGTAGCCATTGGATGAAATGTTCTGTAAATATCTATTGGGTCCATTTGGTCTATAGTGCAGATTAAGTCCAATGTTTCTTTGTCTATTTTCTGTCTGGATGATCTGTCCAATGCTGAAAGTGAGATACTGAAGTCCTCAGTTAATGTACTGGGGCCCATCTCTCTCTTTACCTCTAATAACATTTGCTTTATATATTGGGTATTTCCATGTTGATTGCATATATATTTAAAATTGATATATCCTCTTGCTGAATTGACCCCTTTATCATTATATAACGACATTTTTTGTCCCTTTTTATAGGCTTTGTCTCAAAATCCATTTTGTCTGATATAAGTATAGCTACTACTGCTGTTTTTGGTTTCCACTGACATAGAACATATTTTTTCATTATTTTTGGTTTATGTATATCTTTATATGTGAGTGTGTTTCTTGTAGGCAACAGAGAGTTAATTCTTGCTTTTTTAAAAATCCATTCAGCCACTCAGTGTCTTTTCATTGGAGAGTTTCATGAATTTATATTCAATGTTATTATTGATAGGTAGGGACCTCCTCCGGTCATTTTGCTATTTGTTTTCTAGTTGTTTTGTGGTCTTTCCTTTTTTTCCTTTCTGTCTTCCTTTTAGTGAAGCTGATTTTCTCTGGCAATATTGTTTTAATTTCTTGATTTTTACCTCTTGTGTATCTGCTGTATGCATTTTGATTTGAGATTACCATGAGTATTGCAAATAATATAACCCAATATTTTAAACTCATGACAGCTTAACACTGCGTAAACAAACAAGCAAGCAAAGTGAAAATTAATAAAAAATTTACACTTTAACTTTGTCCCCCCACTTTTTAACTTTTTGTTTTTTCTATTTATATCTTATCATACTGTCTATGTCTTGAAAAGTTGTTGTAATTATTATTTTTTATTGGTTCATCCTTTAGTCTTTGTATTCAAGATGTGTTTAGTTTACACATCACAATTACAGTGTTAGAATATTCTGTGTGTTTCTCTGTACTTACTATTGCCGGTGCATTTTATACTTTCAGATGCTTACTTATTGCTCATTAATGCCCTTTTCTTTCGTACTTAAGAATTTCCTTCAGCACTTCTTGTAGGACAGATCTGGTGTTGATGAAGTCCCTCAGCTTTTGTTTGTCTGGGGAAGTCTTTATTTCTCCTTGATGTTTGAAGAATATTTTTTGCCAGATATACTATTCTAGGATAAAAGTTTTTGTTGTTGTTGTTGTTTCATTCAGCACTTTAAATATGTCATGCCACCTTCTCCTGCCCTGTAAGGTTTCCACTGAAGTCTGCTGTCAGACACATTGGAGCTCGTTGTATGTTATTCGTTTCTTTTCTCTTGCTGCTTTTAGGATCCTTTCCTTAAACTTGACCTTTGGGAGTTTAATTATTAAATGCCTTCATGGAGTCTCTTTGGATAAATCTGTTTGCTGTTCTATAACCTTCTTCTGCTTGAATATTGATATCTTCCTCTAGGTTTAGGAAGTTGTTTGTTATCCCTTTGAATAAACTTTCTACTTCATCTCTCTGTACACCTCCTCTTTAAGTGTATTTAAATCTAAATAACTGTTAGACTTGCCCTCTTGAGGCTATTTTCTAGATTTTTTAGGCACGTTTTATTCTTTTTAATTATTTTTTATCTTCTCTGTGCATTTTCCTTTTCTTTTCTTTTTTTTTTTTTTTGACAGAGTCTCACTCTATTGCCTAGGCTGGAGAGCAGTGGTGCAATCTCAGCTCACTGCAACCTCCGCCTACTGGGTTCAAGTGATTCTCCTGGCTCAGCCTCCTGAGTAGCTGGGATTACAGGTGCGTGCCACCATGCCCAGCTAATTTATTTATTTTTGTTTTTACTAGAGACAGGGTTTCACTATGTTGGCCAGGCTGGTCTCGAACTCCTAACCTCGTGGTCTGCCTGCCTCGGCCTCCCAAAGTGCTGGGATTACAGGTGTGTGCCACCATGCCTGGCCTCTGTGCATTTTCAAATAACCTGTCTTCAAGCTCACCAGTGCTTTCCTCTGTGTGACCAATTCTGCCATTAAGAGACTGATGTGTTCTTCAGTATGTCAATTGTATTTTTCAACTCCAGAATTTCTGCTGAATTCTTTTTAATTATTCAATTTCTTTGTTACATTTATGTGATAGAATTAATAATTCCTTCTCTATGTTATCTTGAATTGTGTTGAGTTTCCTCAAAACAACTATTTTGAATTCTTTGTCTGAAAGGCCGCAAATCTCTATCTCTCCAGGATTGGTCCCTGGTACCTTATTTAGTTCATTTGGTGAGGTCCTGTTTCCCTGGATGATCTTGATGCTTGTAGATATTCATCAGTGTCTGGGCAATGAAGAGTTAGGCATTTACTGTAGTCTTTGCAGTCTGGACTTGTTTGTACCTGTTTTTCTTGGGAAGGCTTTCGGGTGTTCAAAGACACTTGAGTGTTTAAGATTTTGGTCACTGCAGCCATCTCTGCATTAAGGGACATTATAATCCCAGTAATGGAGTGGCTCCTACAGACTCACAGAGGTACCACCTTGGTCTTGGATAAGATGTAGAGGAATCATCTGCATTACCAAGCAGAGACTCTTCTATTCCCTTACTTTCTCCCAAAAAAGTAGAGTGTTTCCCTCTGTGCTGAATTTCCTGGAGGTGAGGGAGGAGTGACACAAACGCCTATGTCACTACCACCACTGGGACTGTGTTTGGTAAGATCTGAAGCCAGCACAGCACTGGGTCTCACCCAAGACCTGCAGTAACCACTGCCTGGTTTCCACCTATGTTTGCTCAAAGGCCCTAGGGCTGTACAATCAGCAGGTGGCAAAGCCAGCCAGGCTTGCATCTTTCCCTTCAGAGAGGTGAGATCCTGCTAGTCCTGGGTGGGTTCCAAGATGCTGTCTGGGAGCTAGGGCCTGAAGTCAGAAACCTTAGGATTCTACCTGGTGCACTATTCTACTGTGGCTAAGTTAGCACTCAGGCCACAAGACAAAGTCTTTCCCACTCTTCCCTCCATTTTCACAAGCAAAGGAGTCACTCCTCATGGCCACCACCACCCCACACCTGTGACAAGTACTTCCTGACTACTACTGAAGTTCATTCAAGGTCCCAGGGCTCTTCAGTCAGCTTGTGGTAGATGTTTCTAGGCCTAGGACGCTCCCTTCAGGGCAGTGGGCTCCTCTCTGACCTAAGGCAGGAACAGAAATGCCATCGAAGAGCAACGACCTGAAATCAGACATCCCAAGAGTCCACTTGGTCCTCTACCCCACTGTGGCCTAGCTAGTACCTAAGCTGCAAGACAAAGTCCCCTTTACTCTTCCCTCTGCTATTCTCAAGCAGAAGGATTCCTTTCCTGTAGCCACTAAAGCTAGGAATGTGCTGGGTCGCACACGAAGCCAGCACATCTCTGAATCTTACCCAAGGCCCACAGCAAGTACTGCCTGGCTATTGCTACTAATTATTCAGGGCCCAAGGGCTCTTTAGTCAGTAGGTTATGGATCCTGCAAGGACTGGGTTCTTCTCTTCAAGGTAGCATGTTTCCTTCTGGCTCAAATTGTGTCTAAAAATGTTATCCAGGAACTAGGACCTGGAATGAAGGCCTTAGGAATCTGACTGGTGCCCTATTCTACTGTGGCTGAGCTGGTAGCCAAATAGCAAAACAAAGTCCTCTACTCTTCCCTCTCCTCTCCTTAAGCTAAAGGAAGGAGTTTCTCCTGAAGCTGCAAGCTGTGCTGCCTAGGGTTGAGAGAGGGGTGGTGCCACCTTGGCTCATGTCTAACTGTGTCATATGTCCCCCAATTCCACTGGCTTCAAGCCAGAACATCATCAGGACATGCCCAGGAATTATAGTTTTTGTGACCTAGACTGTCTTTCAAGTTTATTTAAGGCCCCAGAGAACTTTAGCTCATGATGGTGAGGTTTGCTGGAGCTCAGATTCTGACTGCTGGGATGGGCAATTCCCCTTGATTAGGTCTGGCCTAAATGTTCCCTCTGTGGGCACCAGCTGAGTTCTTCCCAGTGTTGCTTTCCACTGTGACAGGGCAGCACAGAGTTCCAATGCGAAGTCCCTCAATCACTGCACTCTCTCTTCCCCTATTGCACAAATTCTTTCTCTGTGCCATACAGCCACTGCCAAAGGATTGGTGTGAGGTGGTGTTGACAATTCGAGACTGTTTTTTCTGTCCACTTCAGTGCCTCTTTACCTGACATGATGTTAAAACCAGGTAGTGTGGTTGCTTATCTGATTTTTTGTTCTTATGAAGGTGATATTTGGTGTGGATACTTGTTCATTGTGGTGTTTCTGTGGGGAGAGTTAAAAATCTCCAGGAAAATCCATCCATACTCTTGTTGTTACAGTAGGTGTATATTTAATACTCCACCCTCCTCATTTTTGCTTCTGTAAATACATTTCTTGATTATCCCTACATTTTATTTGCCCATTAAAGGAATGGATAAAGTATGTGGGCTGTGAGATCTTTACTTTTGTAAATGAGCTTTTGTCAGTTTCAGAGTCCCTGGCCCATGGTCTTCCATGATGCTAGTTTAGATACAATATTAGCCATATTTGTGGGAGGCTCTCAAGTTCATAAGTACTTAGAACTTACGGGGGAGATATTTCTTTTTTTTCTTTTATTATTATTATTATTATACTTTAAGTTTTAGGGGACCTGTGCACAACATGCAGGTTTGTTACATATGTATACATGTGCCATGCTGGTGTGCTGCACCCATCAACTCGTCATTTAGCATTAGGTATATCTCCTAATGCTATCCCTCCCTGCTCCCCCCACCCAACAACAGTCCCCAGTGTGTGATGTTCGCCTTCCTGTGTCCATGTGTTCTCATTGTTCAATTCCCACCTATGAGTGAGAACATGCAATGTTTGGTTTTTTGTCCTTGCAATAGTTTGCTGAGAATGATGGTTTCCAGTTTCATCCATGTCCCTACAAAGGACATGAACTCATCATTTTTTATGGCTGCATAGTATTCCATGGTGTATATGTGCCACATTTTCTTAATCCAGTCTATCATGTTTGGACATTTGGGTTGGTTCCAAGTCTTTGCTATTGTGAATAATGCCACAATAAATATATGTGTGCATATGTCTTTATAGCAGCATGATTTATAATCCTTCGGGTATATACCCAGTAATGGGATGGCTGGGTCAAATGATATTTCTAGTTCTAGATCTCTGAGGAATCGCCACACCGACTTCCACAATGCTTGAACTAGTTTACAGTCCCACCAACACTGTAAAAGTGTTCCTATTTCTCCACATCCTCTCCAGCACCTGTTGTTTCCTGACTTTTTAACGATCGCCATTCTAACTGGTGTGAGATGGTATCTCATTGTGGTTTTGATTTGCATTTCTCTGATGGCCAGTGATGATGAGCATTTATTTATGTGTTTTTTGGCTGCATAAATGTCTTCTTTTGAGAAGTGTCTGTTCATATCCTTCGTCCACTTTTTGATGGGGTTGTTTGTTTTTTTCTTGTAAATTTGTTTGAGTTCATTGTAGATTCTGGATATTAGCCCTTTGTCAGATGAGTAGGTTGCAAAAATTTTCTCCCATTCTGTAGGTTGCCTGTTCACTCTGATGGTGGTTTCTTTTGCTGTGCAGAAGCTCTCTAGTTTAATTAGATCCCATTTTGGCTTTTGTTGCCATTGCCTATTCAATAAATGGTGCTGGGAAAACTGGCTAGACATATGTAGAAAGCTGAAACTGGATCCCTTCCTTATATCTTATACAAAAATTAATTCAAGATGGATTAAAGACTTACATGTTAGACCTAAAACCATAAAAACCCTAGAAGAAAACCTAGGCAATACCATTCAGGACATAGGCATGGGCAAGGACTTCATGTCTAAAACACCAAAGCAATGGGGAGATGTTTCTATAAGTAACTCACAATGTGTATAGAGAGGGCAATGAAAAGTGTATGAGTCTTGGAGTCACATTTTCCTGGATTTAAGTACTGGTTATAGTACTTTTTAACTGATTGTACTTGAATAAGTTGCTTAACCTTTTGAGACATTACTTTTATTTTAAATAAGGATGAAAATAGTACCTATCACACAGGGTTGGTATTAGGGTAAAATAAAATTATGCCTGTGCCAGGCATATAACGAGAGGGTAAAAAACTGGTAGCTATTTTTATTACTATCTAAAATTATTTAATTCAACAAATAGATGTCACTCAACCTTGTTTACATTAGAACTACATCCCACTTAGTCTAGATGCCTCAAAGATAGAGTTTGTATATTTTCAAATTTGCACATCCCCTCACCACTAAATGCAAGCTCAGCATTTACTAGAAACCTGGATATTTACTGGACTCAGTGGAATAATGGTCAGTTCACTTATTACAAAGCATGTATTTATTTGTGTAATATTATTGGGTATGGAGATAGGAGAATGAATATCTTACACTTGAGGCCTTCAAGTTGCTCACTGTTGGTGAAGGAAAAGATAAAATCCTGTAGGATGTGCTATTATCACTTGCATTCATTTAGTCCTTATTATGTGTCAGGTACAGGGTTAGGATATTTGTAAACACAATCCCTTCTGATCCTCATTAACAGCCCTATTAGGCAAATACTATTATTATGTTCATTAACAAATGAGGCCACTGAGCTTTACAGAGATTAAATAACTGGCCCAAAGAAACAAGGATAACAGAAGATAGGGAAGACCTGGAAGTCTAGAGCCTGCTATCATCACTTGGGCCCAAGAGATGGATATTATGTGCTTATGTCTCAACATTGGAGCCCCAAATGAAAGGGGAGTTAGAGTGTAACTGAGGAAAGATGAGAAGTGGAGAATAAAGCCACAATCCATCAATTGTTTATTGTTTCCAGAGCACCTGATAGGTTCACTCCAAATTATTCAGAGGCTGGAGGAACCTGAGGATTTCTGGTAAGCAGAGGACACCACAGTCAGACTCATTCACTTCTTAAAGGCATGATACTGTTGTAGTAGAAAGAAAAGGAGCTTTGAAATTCAACAGCTCCAATAACAGACAAACAGTTACTAGCTGTGTACTGAGTCCAGCTATTTAACTCTTCTCCTTCATCAAAAGGAGATAATAATACAATTTTACAGATTGAAAGGGAGATTAGGATAATATACATAAAGTACCTGGCATGTAACAGGCACTGAATTTGTTTGAAATATTACTTAATGAATATTCAATACATCACTCTGTTCTTTGATAGTAACTAAACATTTCTTAACCAATTGTCTCTCAACCAATTATCATAGGTGAATACTCTCCCCTACCACTTTGATGTCCCCTTTCCTCAATTCTCACAAGTAACAATCATGTGCATCATTGCTTCTGGCACTTAATTGTCTTAATGTATTGTTACCTAATTCATGTTATTCTATATTGTTTTTTCTTCCTAGAAATGACAATCTGCTAACATACAGAAAAGTGTCTGTGACTTTTGGCAGGTATTAACCAGTAGTTGGATGTTTTCTTAAGTTCTTGCTATCAACCTGTGGTCCACAGACCGTTAGCATTGGCATTAGTGGAAGCTTGATAAGCATGCAGAATCTCTGGTTTCACATTCACTTATTGGTCCTAACCTGCATTTTTAAAATATGCCCAGGTGAAGCCTGTAATCTCAGCACTTCGGGAGGCCAAGGCAGGATGATCACTGGAGGTCAGGAGATCAATACCAGCCTGGGCAACATAGTGAGACCTTGTCTCTACAAAAAATTTAAAAAATTAGTTGGGCATGGTGGTGTGTGCCTATAATCCTAGCTACCCAGGAGGCTGAAGAAATAAGATTGCTTGAGCCCAGGATTTTGAGGCTACAGTGAACTGTAACTGTGCCACTGCACTCCAGCCTGGGTGACAGAGCAAGACCCTATCTCTAATATATATATATATTCATTCTCAGGTGATTCATCAGTGTGTCTAAATTTGAGAATCACTACTCTAAGAATCTGTTGCATTGTGGTAATGCAGGGGAGAGAGTGATTGATAGAAATAGGGGCTCCCACATGGAGATTCTGGTGCTTCAGTAAGTCAATAAAATGGAGAACTTTTGTGCTAAGCAAACATTAATATAGACAACAAATATTTATTGAGAACTCATTGTGTCCCAAGCACTGTTCTGGGCACTTGGGATACATCAGTGAACAGACAAAGATCCTTGCCCATATGGACCTTCCTTTCCTGCAGTGGGAGAGACATAATAAGCAATAAATATCATGAATAAACACATGATCTAATACAATACAATACAAGATGATAAGAACTATGAAATAAAGAGTAAGTAGAGCTAAAAAAGATCAGTAATATGTCGGGGAAGGGGCTGTGATTACAATTTTAAACAGTGTGATCTTGGTAAGGCCACATTGAGAAGGAGAATGAGCAAAGCCTTGAAGGAGATAATAAAATTGGCTGTGCAGATTTGGGGAGGAGAACATTCCAAGCAGACGAAACAGCCACTGACAAGGCCTCCAATCCAGAGTGTGCCTGGTGTTTTGGAGACTCACCAATGAAGCCAGTGTAGCTGGAGGGGAGTGAGGGTTTGGGGTGGGCACTAGAATATAAGGTTAGAGTGGGAACAGTTCTCTGGGCTGGGCTGTAGACTGGGCAAATTGCCCACACTTGTTTGAATAATCCTCTACAAATTTAAGTTCTGTATAGTATATCTGACTGTCTGCAGGACGTTTCTACTTGGGTGTCCTAAGGTACTAAAACTCAACATGAACAAAAACTTAACATATTCCCCTCCAAACCTGTCCTTTCTCCAGACTTCTCATTCTTATGAATGGGACATCTACCCACCCAATCAACCAAGCCAGAAACCTGGGAATCATTTTTGAGTCTCCTAATCTCTCACCCTCCTCTCTATCAGATTCAAACAATTATCAGTTCCTGACTATTCTACCATAAAATACCTCTCAAGTCCTTTCACTTTTCTGCATTTCTATGACCTCTGAGATCAAATCACCTGCAAAGAACCACCAGGATTATAGCTACTGCCTCCTAATTGTTCCCCCGGAATCCAGTCTTACTTTCATGCTAACATGCTACTGCCATAGTTACTTTTCTAAAGTTACTTTTACAAAAGTCAATTGAATATTTCATTTCCTAAATTAAAATCCCTCCATGACAACCCCTGACCTACCAGAACCTTCATCATGGCTCTCAAGTCCTTTGCCAACCTGCTGTAATGGTAGAACTCCTTAAAAAGAGTGCTGGCGAGGGGGAGGAGCCAAGATGGCCGAATAGGAACAGCTCTGGCCTACAGCTCCCAGCATGAGCGACGCAGAAGACGGGTGATTTCTGCATTTCCATCTGAGGTACCGGGTTCATCTCACTAGGGAGTGCCAGACAGTGGGCGTAGGTCAGTGGGTGTGCGCACCGTGTGTGAGCTGAAGCAGGGTGAGGCATTGCCTCACTCGGGAAGCGCAAAGGGTCAGGGAGTTCCCTTTCCTAGTCAAAGAAAGGGGTGACAGATGGCACCTGGAAAATCGGGTCACTCCCACCTGAATACTGCGCTTTTCCAATGGGCTTAAAAAACAGCACACCAGGAGATTATATCCCGCACCTGGCTTGGAGGGTCCTGCACCCACGGAGTCTCGCTGATTGCTAGCACAGCAGTCTGAGATCAAACTGCAAGGTGGCAGCGAGGCTGGGGGAGGGGTGCATGCCATTGCCCAGGCTTGCTTAGGTAAACAAAGCAGTCAGGAAGCTCGAACTGGGTGGAGCCCACCACAGCTCAAAGAGGCCTGCCTGCCTGCCTTTGTAGGCTCAACCTCTGGGGGCAGGGCACAGACAAACAAAAAGACAGCAGTAACCTCTGTAGACTTAAATGTCCCTGTCTGACAGCTTTGAAGAGAGCAGTGGTTCTCCCAGCATGCAGCTGGAGATCTGAGAACGGGCAGACTGCCTCCTCAAGTGGGTCCCTGACCCCTGACCCCCAAGCAGCCTAACTGGGAGGCACCCCCCAGCAGGGGAAGATTGACACCTCACACAGCAGGGTACTCCAACAGACCTGCAGCTGAGGGTCCTATCTTTTAGAAGGAAAACTAACAAACAGAAAGGACATCCACACGAAAAACCCATCTGTACATCACCATCATCAAAGACCAAAAGTAGATAAAACCACAAAGATGGGGAAAAAAAAGAACAGAAAGACTGGAAACTCTAAAAAGCAGAGCGCCTCTCCTCCTCCAAAGGAATGCAGTTCCTCACCAGCAACGGAACAAAGCTGGACGGAGAATGACTTTAACGAGCTGAGAGAAGAAGGCTTCAGACGATCAAATTACTCTGAGCTACAGGAGGACATTCAAACCAAAGGCAAAGAAGTTGAAAACTTTGAAAAAAAATTAGAAGAATGTATAACTAGAATAACCAATACAGAGAAGTGCTTAAAGGAGCTGATGGAGCTGAAAACCAAGGCTCGAGAACTACGTGAAGAATGCAGAAGCCTCAGGAGCCAATGCGATCAACTGGAAGAAAGGGTATCAGCAATGGAAGATGAAATGAATGAAATGAAGAGAGAAGGGAAGTTTAGAGAAAAAAGAATAAAAAGAAACGAGCAAAGCCTCCAAGAAATATGGGACTATGTGAAAAGACCAAATCTACGTCTGATTGCTGTACCTGAAAGTGATGGGGAGAATGGAACCAAGTTGAAAAACACTCTGCAGGATATTATTCAGGAGAACTTCCCCAGTCTAGCAAGGCAGGCCAACGTTCAGATTCAGGAAATACAGAGAACACCACAAAGATACTCCTCGAGAAGAGCAACTCCAGGACACATAATTGTCAGATTCACCAAAGTTGAAATGAAGGAAAAAATGTTAAGGGCAGCCAGAGAGAAAGGTCGGGTTACCCTCAAAGGGAAGCCCATCAGACTAACAGCGGATCTCTCAGCAGAAACTCTACAAGCCAGAGGAGAGTTGGGGCCAATATTCAACATTCTTAAAGAAAAGAATTTTCAACCCAGAATTTCATATCCTGCCAAACTAAGCTTTATAAGTGAAGGAGAAATAAAATACTTTACAGACAAGCAAATGCTGAGAGATTTTGTCACCACCAGGCCTGCCCTAAAAGAGCTCCTGAAGGAAGCACTAAACATGGAAAGGAACAACCGGTACCAGCCGCTGCAAAATCATGCCAAAATGTAAAGACCATCGAGACTAGGAAGAAACTGCATCAACTAATGAGCAAAATAACCAGCTAACATCATAATGACAGGATCAAATTCACACATAACAATATTAACTTTAAATGTAAATGGACTAAATGCTCCAATTAAAAGACGCAGACTGGCAAATTGGATAAAGAGTCGAGACCCATCAGTGTGCTGTATTCAGGAAACCCATCTCAAGTGCAGAGACACACATAGGCTCAAAATAAAAGGATGGAGGAAGATCTACCAAGCAAATGGAAAACAAAAAAAGGCAGGGGTTGGAATCCTAGTCTCTGATAAAACAGACTTTAAACCAACAAAGATCAAAAGAGACAAAGAAGGCCATTACATAATGGTAAAGGGATCAATTCAACAAGAAGAGCTAACTATCCTAAATATATATGCACCCAACACAGGAGCACCCAGATACATGAAGCAAGTCCTGAGTGACCTACAAAGAGACTTGGACTCCCACACGTTAATAATGGGAGAATTTAACACCCCACTGTCAACATTAGACAGATCAATGAGACAGAAAGTCAACAAGGATACCCAGGAATTGAACTCAGCTCTGTACCAAGCGGACCTAATAGACATCTACAGAACTCTCCACCTCAAATCAACAGAATATACATTTTTTTCAGCACCACACCACACCTATTCCAAAATTGACCACATACTTGGAAGTAAAGCTCTCCTCAGCAAATGTAAAAGAACAGAAATTATAACAAACTATCTCTCAGACCACAGTGCAATCAAACTAGAATGCAGGATTAAGAATCTCACTCAAAACCACTCAACTACATGGAAACTGAACAACCAGCTCCTGAATGACTACTGGGTACATAACGAAATGAAGGCAGAAATAAAGATGTTCTTTGAAACCAACGAGAACAAAGACACAACATACCAGAATCTCTGGGACACATTCAAAGCAGTGTGTAGAGGGAAATTTATAGCACTAAATGCCCAAAAGAGAAAGCAGGAAAGATCCAAAATTGACACCCTAACATCACAATTAAAAGAACTAGAAAAGCAAGAGGAAACACATTCAAAAGCTAGCAGAAGGCTAGAAATAACTAAAATCAGAGCAGAACTGAAGGAAATAGAGACACAAAAAACCCTTCAAAAAATTAATGAATCTAGGAGCTGGTGTTTTGAAAGGATCAACAAAATAGATAGACCGCTAGCAAGACTAATAAAGAAAAAAAGAGAGAAGAATCAAATAGATGCAATAAAAAATGATAAAGGGGATATCACCACCGATCCCACAGAAATACAAACTACCATCAGAGAATACTACAAACAAACACCTCTATGCAAATAAACTAGAAAATCTACAAGAAATGGATAAATTCCTCGACACATACACTCTACCAAGACTAAACAAGGAATAAGTTGAATCTCTGAATAGACCAATAACAGGATCTGAATTTGTGAAAATAATCAATAGCTTACCAACCAAAAAGAGTCCAGGCCCAGACGGATTCACAGCCGAATTCTACCAGAGGTACAAGGAGGAACTGGTACCATTCCTTCTGAAACTATTCCAATCAATAGAAAAAGAGGGAATCCTCCCTAACTCATTTTATGAGGCCAGCATCATTCTGATACCAAAGCCGGGCAGAGACACAACCAAAAAAGAGAATTTTAGATCACTATCCTTGATGAATATTGATGCAAAAATCCTCAATAAAATACTGGCAAAACCAATCCAGCAGCACATCAAAAAGCTTATCCACCATGATCAAGTGGGCTTCATCCCTGGGATGCAAGGCTGGTTCAATATACGCAAATCAATAAATGTAATCCAGCATATAAACAGAGCCAAAGACAAAAACCACATGATTATTTCAATAGATGCAGAAAAGGCCTTTGACAAAATTCAACAACCCTTCATGCTAAAAACTCTCAATAAATTAGGTATTGATGGGACCTATTTCAAAATAATAAGAGCTATCTATGACAAACCCACAGCCAATATCATACTGAATGGGCAAACACTGGAAGCATTCCCTTTGAAAACTGGCACAAGACAGGGATGCCCTCTCTCACCACTCCTATTCAACATAGTGTTGGAAGTTCTGGCCAGAGCAATTAGGCAGGAGAAGGAAATAAAGGGTATTTAGTTAGGAAAAGAGGAAATCAAATTGTCCCTGTTTGCAGACGACATGATTGTATATCTAGAAAACCCCATTGTCTCAGCCCAAAATCTCCTTAAGCTGATAAGCAACTTCAGCAAAGTGTCAGGATACAAAATCAATGTACAAAAATCACAAGCATTCTTATACACCAACAACAGACAAACAAAGAGCCAAATCATGAGTGAACTCCCATTCACAATTGCTTCAAAGAGAATAAAATACCTAGGAATCCAACTTACAAGGGATGTGAAGGACATCTTCAAGGAGAACTACAAACCATTGCTCAATGAGATAAAAGAGGATACAAACAAATGGAAGAACATCCCATGCTCATGGGTAGGAAGAATCAATATCGTGAAAATGGCCATACTGCCCAAGGTAATTTACAGATTCAATGCCATCCCCATCAAGCTACCAATGACTTTCTTCATGGAATTGGCAAAAACTACTTTAAAGTTCATATGGAACCAAAAAAGAGCCCGCATCGCCAAGTCAATCCTAAGCCAAAAGAACAAAGCTGGAGGCATCACACTACCTGACTTCAAACTATACTACAAGGCTACAGTAACCAAAACAGCATGGTACTGGTACCAAAACAGATATATAGATCAATGGAACAGAACAGAGCCCTCAGAAATAACGCCACATATCTACAACTATCTGATCTTTGACAAACCTGAGAAAAACAAGCAATGGGGAAAGGATTCCCTATTTAATAAATGGTGCTGGGAAAACTGGCTAGCCATATGTAGAAAGCTGAAACTGGATCCCTCCCTTACACCTTATACAAAAATCAATTCAAGATGGATTAAAGACTTACATGTTAGACCTAAAACCATAAAAACCCTAGAAGAAAACCTAGGCATTACCATTCAGGACATAGGCATGGGCAAGGACTTCATGTCTAAAACACCAAAAGCAATGGCAAGAAAAGCCAAAATTGACAAATGGGATCTAATTAAACTAAAGAGCTTCTACACAGCAAAAGAAACTACCATCAGAGTGAACAGGCAACCTACAAAATGGGAGAAAATTTTCTCAGCCTACTCATCTGACAAAGGGCTAATATCCAGAATCTACAATGAACTCAAACAAATTTACAAGAAAAAAACAAACAACCCCATCAAAAAGTGGGCAAAGGACATGAACAGATACTTCTCAAAAGAAGACATTTATGCAGCCAAAAGACACATGAAAAAATGCTCATCATCACTGGCCATCAGAGAAATGCAAACCAAAACCACAATGAGATACCATCTCACACCAGTTAGAATGGCAATCATTAAAAAGTCAGGAAACAACAGGTGCTGGAGAGGACGTGGAGAGGTAGGAACACTTTTACACTGTTGGTGGGACTGTAAACTAGTTCATCCATTGTGGAAGTCAGTGTGGCGATTCCTCAGGCATCTAGAACTAGAAATACCATTTGACCCAGCCATCCCATTACTGGGTATATACCCAAAGGACTACAAATCATGCTGCTATAAAGACACATGCACACGTATGTTTATTGCGGCTCTATTCACAATAGCAAAGACTTGGAACCAACCCAAATGTCCAACAATGATAGACTGGATTAAGAAAATGTGGCACATATACACCATGGAATACTATGCAGCCATAAAAAATGATGAGTTCATGTCCTTTGTAGGGACATGGATGAAATTGGAAATCATCATTCTCAGTAAACTATCACAAGAACAAAAAACCAAACAAACACCGCATGTTCTCACTCATAGGTGGGAACTGAACAATGAGATCACATGGACGCAGGAAGGGGAACACACTCTGGGGCCTGTTGTGGGGTGGGGTGAGGGGGGAGGGATAGCATTTGGAGATATACCTAATGCTAGATGACGAGTTAGTGGGTGCAGCGCACCAGCATGGCACTTGTATACATATGTAACTAACCTGCACAATGTGCACATGTACCCTAAAACTTAAAGTATAATAATAAAAGGAAAAAAAGAGTGCTGGCAAGAACATTTTCTTAAATCTCAGCCATGTTTACATGTAATCATAGAATAGTACTTTGACTCTGGCCTGATTGTGTTGACAGTAGCACTGCTTTGTGGAAAGCTCAGAAATGACTCTGCTTGTGTGAATGAAATAACTAAAGCTGATGACAGGCAACTAAGGGGATGTTTGCCAACTCTGAGGTGCTTCCAAAGATGTGGGCAGTGAAAGAAAAAACAAACAAACACCAAAAAGTCTTTTAGGACCTTTCTCTTTTCCCTCCAGAAGGAAAAAAAGCCAAAAGACCTGGACAGGTTGCCAGAGTCTCGCTCTAACCTTTACTGATGTTATGGAAACACACCAAACCCAAAAACACAGTCTGACATAATGAGTGTCATTGGATTTACAGCTGGAAGGCATGGATTTGCATCTGGCTGTTATGCCATTAACTTGCTGTGTAGACATGGGTAAGCCCCTTCAAAACTCCAAGCCTCAGATGCTCCATCTGTAAAGTATAGAAATTGACTTTAATGGTTGTTAAGATCCAGCTATGTTATTGTGTAAATTCATGATTTGGGGGTAAGTAGGCAAAGAAGGGCAAAGAGAAATAAAAAGAATTTATCTTTGTTCTCCCACTGATGGAACAGAATAATGCATAATGTTTTCTATGTGCTCATTGATTCAATAAATTCTTGTGCAGCTATTAGGAACAGGTTCTGAGGCTAGGACCTTGACTTAAGAACTAGACTGAAACAAAAGTACATTGAGTAGCAGGAATGGTTTTTATACAGATATACATTGTAAAACTTAATTGCTTTCAGGCAAATGCCCCACTGCGCCTAGATATCTAAAGGTTTTCCTTAGAGAATATATCATATTTTTAGCCCCACTGTACCTAGATATCTAAAGGTTTTCCTTAGAGAATATATCATATTTTTAACTCAAAATGTCTTTAGTATTATATGTTAAGTCCCTGCAATACAAGAAAAGAAGACCCTGAACTGCCACCTTGAAATCTAACATTTGGATGAAATAATTTTAATTCATGAATTCATCAGGATTGCTATCAAAATGATTGAAAGCAGTAAAAAAACTCTAGGAGAACTGGATCTTTAAGAACTGATTTTTTGTTGGCAGTAGAAACATGTCCACTATAATGGGACAATTTAAATGCATAACTGTTAAAACAAACTCCTTAAACTATTCCCTGCGTGTCCCCACATTCATCATGTTGACTACCAAGACATCAGTTTTTCATAAAATACTGTATAACTGAAAAGGAGACATTTAAAGGAGAGAAAAAAATTGAACTCACTGTTTCAGCTCAGGCTCTGATGATTTCAGCATTTTATAGGGTGATTAACTGATTGTATGAAAGGATAAAGCAAGTGGTACTTCACTGAGCTGTACAGATTGAGTTCTGTTTTTTTGTTTCCTTTCCTTAAGCACCTTAATTTTTTTCTCTCCCTGAGGCATTGCTTATGTGGCAAGAAGAATGAATGAATTGGCTGCATGACAAAGTCTACACAATTGTGCCTTCACTTCTGCCTCAACAAATACCAATGTTGATAACCCACATGTGGCCAAATGGATAGAACAGGGCAAGAGTCTGTTTTGTTGAAATTTAATATGATGATGCATTTTACCTTGGTAAAGGGGAAAAAATTTAAGAATTTTAAAAATTAAAAAATATTTTAAGGGCTATTCTTAATATGTTAACTTTCACAGAAGCTGAGGTTTGTTTGGTTTTGTTTTTTTAAATAAGTTCACTAGAATGCCTCAATTTTTTTCGTGTCCATAATCCCCTTCTCTTTTAGCATAAATTTTATCTTAGATCTGTGTTGAAGGACCTTGAGATAAGATGACACAGAACGTCCAGAAAACGTTTCTTGTTTTCATGTATAACAGATAAGCCTCATAATTATCCCAACCTAGAGTTCAACAGTATCACTAAATAGAATCTAATTCTTGTCCAGGGCATAATAAAATCCATTTTGATTTTAAATAAGAAAAAATGGTTACAGCCATAGCCAAGACCATGCAATAAAGAACTTCTTGTCTCATAAAAGTTAACCACTTTAGTATTGTACTGATCTATAACTTTCACAAAAGTCCTATCCTGACTCTCATGCAAATATAAAACAATCACATCAAAGTTTGTTCTAAATTCATAAATTAATCAGGGAGTCAATAATATGTTAAATAATGGTTAAATAACAAGTTCAAAGGCCAAATTGAAGAACAAACATTTTATATATATATATGCAATCAGGATTGTGAAATATAATTTGTTAATAAATGTAAAACTGCTTAATATTCCATGGAGCAATTAAATTTTATGTTTGAGATTATCTTTTTCCATAAGGCCCAAGTCGATTGTATTTATATGGAGTAATTCATTTGCATTCCTATGAACAGGAATCATTTGCATTAATATCTGTTTCTAAAACTTCTACCATTTCAGTTATAAAATAGCTTACTTAATAGAATGAAAAAGTTGCACCCACCTTATGGAATCAGATCATTCATGTAGAGTCACCATGGACAACTCTACTCCATTGGAAGAATATCCAGAAACCTCTTTTGCCTGTTTCCAACTCTTGGGCAAATTTTTTCAAACAATTTAAGGTAAAAGAGTAATCACATTTCTCTGTCTTATTCTTGGTTTGTAACAGTAATGCACTGCAACATTATTGTTCCATTTTTTTCTATCAGAAACAATACTTCTCTAATTATCCTTATGCATGTATTTTAATACATATATGCAAGTATTTATGCAGGAGAATTTTCTATAAGTGGAATTGCTAAGTCAAAAGTCATGATCATTTTAAAGAGTGACCAAGCAGCCAAATTGTCCTCCAAAAATTCTGTGCTTATTCCCCCTATGTAGATGAGGGTAATCTTATCCCCAAACCTTGCTAACACTTCATATTCTGAGTCTTTAAAACTTTCATCCATCAGATAGAGGAACATTTTTAACATGCTTTTCTAAAATGATTAGTAATGTTTGGAAAAAATATATAAAATAAAATTTTTGTGAGGATTAAATAAATAAGATGCTTTAAAAATACCCCCTGCCATGTAAGAAAATATTAAATATATGTAGACTTTGTTCATTTTTTTGGAAAAAATATACTTTCTAATTTCAATGAATTTTAGGAGCCTTTTCTATATTGGAGATATTAAGCCTTTGCCAAAATATGAATTGCTGCATATTATATATTGTGTCCACACACACACGCCCACCCACACCCACACACCCATATACCCTATTTAGATAAAATATCTCAGTATTTTCCTTCTTGGGTCCAGGATTGTATGGTGTCTTACGAAAGACATTTCCTAGCCTGAGCTTGTAAAATATTTTCTAATGCTTTAATAAATTCGTATATTTAGATTGTTAGGCCATCTGGAATTTATTTTATATATGGCATGAGGAAAGGATGAAGATTTATGCTTGTTTTCAAATGAATAAAATGATTGTTTCAAGATACTTTATGAAATAGTTTATCCATTTCCCGAGTTGAAATATTATCTTTATTACAAATTTCTTTTTATATGAGTTAACCTGTGAAGTCCATATTCTGTATCATTGATCTATTGTTTATTTTTCAAAACTACAGAACACTTTAAATTACAGTGACCTTACAGAAATTCTGATATTTGGAAAGGCAAGTGTCCCTCAATGTTCCTCTTTTTCACATTTTGCTTAATTCTGTCTTCACATTTTATCTTCCCACAGAATTTTAAAATCACTTGTCCACTTCCACAAAAGATTTGTAGGAATTTTGAGTGGCTTACATTAAATTCATAAATATATATAAGGAAAATTGACATTTTAAAATTACTAAATCTTTTATCTAGAAACTCAACAACCACTTCATTATTCTTGGTAGTATTTTATGTCCTTCAGAAAAATTTTGTGGTCCCTTCATTTAGGTTTTACATGTTTCTTAATTTACTCCTTGGCATTTTAAATTTCTGGCTTATTGTTAGTAAAATCTTTACTATTACATTTTCTAAGTGCAATTGGTGGTATATAGCAAAGCAATTGTTTCTTAATGTTTACCTTATTGTTGATTTTCTAATTTTACAAGTTTTGCAGTTGATAGTCTTAGATATTCCAGGTAGAGTTTCATACTCCTTATAAAAAAATTATAATTTGCTCTCCTTCTTTCCAATATTTATTCCACATTTTTTGCTTTTTTATTCCACTGCCTAATCATCATCACTGAATAATGAATGTGTACCAGGCATTCTTTTCATGTTCTTTACTTCAAGCCTAGCGGAAATTACCTTAATATTTTGTCATTAACTGAATAATTTCTTATGTTTCTAATAGCTCTTCTATTTTTTTCAGAAATAAATTTATATGGCAAAAATGGCAACTATTGAGATAACTGAATTTTCTGTCCACTCCCTTTAAAGTCTATACTGATATCACTTGATATTACTTAGAGTAAGCACTGGTATGTGGATGGTGTATTACAGGGATCAGCAAACTACAGCTCAGCCCATGGCCCAGTTTAAGCTCACCACCATTTTTGTGTATAATGTGTGTATCTGTTTGTGTGGTGTGTGTGTAAGAACACATGCTCAATTATTTATGTATGGTGTTTGACCATTATGCACTGCAATGGCAGAGTTGTATAGTCACTAGCAAGACCATGCAGCCTGGAAAGCCTAAAATATTTTACTATACGGACTTTTAAAGAAAATGTGTGCCAATTCTTGATGTATTGGATAATTCAATAGTGCCCTTAAGAAGTATCTGAATTCATTGGTCAAAAATACTCTAAAGAGCTGCCTGTCTGATAGAACACCAAAGGGCAAATAACACCAGGACTGCGGGAGGGTCTGGGAGCCTGCAGAGCTCACAGAAGCAAGACAGAGGTGAGTGGCTCCCAGTCACCAAGCTGGGCTTCCTGGTCAAGGACATGAAGATCAAGTCCCTGGAAGAGATCTATCTCTTCTCCCTGCCCATAAAAATGCTGAGATAATTGACTTTTTCCTGGGGGCATCCCTCAAGGATGAAAATTTAAAGATTATGCCCATGCAAAAGCAGACTCTTGCTGGCCAGTGGACCAGGTACAGTGGCCACATCATCTGGGTGTTAAATGTTTCAGGGAGGTAGCCACTGCCATCTGAGGGTCCATCACCCTGGCCAAGCTCTCCATTTTCCCCATGCAGAAGCTATTGGGGAATAAGATTGGTATGCTCCACATCATTCCTTGTGGAGTGACTGACCACTTTGGCCCTGTGCTGGTGTGCCTCATCTCTGCCCTCAGATGCACTGGCAATGTCTCTGCCCCTTTGCCTAAGAAGCTACTGATGATGGCCAGTGTCAATGACTGCTACACCTTGATCAGGGCTGCACTGCCACCCTAGGCAACTTTACCAAGGCTACCTTTGATGCCATCTCCAAGACCTACAGCTATCTGATGCCTGACCTCTGGAAAGAGACTGTTGCCAAGTCTCTCCATGAAGAATTCACTGACCATCTTGTAAAGACCACACAAGTTTCCACACACAGGACCCAAGTTCTAGCTATGGCCATGACATAGTGTTTTTATACAAGAAAAGTAAAGTGAACTAACTAAGCCCATTTTAAAAAATGCTCTATATATCTGTTTTGGTACCAGTACCATGCTGTGTTGGTTACTGTAGCCTTGTAGTATAGTTTGAAATCAGGTAGCATGATGTCTCCAGCTTTGTTCTTTTTATTAGGATTGTCTTGGCTATGTGGGCTCTTTTTTGGTTCCATATGAAATTTAAAGTATTTTTTTCAATACTGTGAAGAAAGTCAATGGTAGTTTGATTGGGATAGCATTGAATCTGTAAGTTACTTTGGGCAGTATGTTCATTTTCACGATATTGATTCTTCCTATCCATGAGCGTGTATCCACGAGCGTGGAATGTTTTTCCATTTGTTTGTGTCCTCTCTTATTTCCTTGAGCAGTGGTTTGTAGTTCCCCTTGAAGAGGTCCTTCACATCTCTTGTAAATTGTATTCCTAGGTATTTTATTCTCTTTGTAGCAATTGTGACAGTGTGATGATTTCTCAAGGATCTAGAACCAGAAATACCATTTGACCCAGCCATCCCATTACTTGGTATATACCCAAGGGATTATAAATCATGCTACTATAAAGACACATGCACACGTATGTTTGTAGTGGCACTGCTCACAATAGCCAAGACTTGGAACCAACCCAGATGCCCATCAATGATAGACTAGATAAAGAAAATGTGGCACATATACACCATAGAATACTATGCAGCCATAAAAAAGGATGAGTTCATGTACTTTGCAGGGACATGGATAAAACTGGAAACCATCATTCTCAGCAAACTTACCCAAGAATAGAAAACCAAACACTGCATGTTCTCACTCATAAGTGGGAGTTGAATAATGAGGACACGTGGACACAGGGAGGGGAACATCACACACCGGGGCCTGTCAGGGGATGGGGGGCTAGGGGAGGGATAGCATTAGGAGAAATACCTAATGTAGTTGATGGGTGCAGCAAACCACCATGGCACATGTATACCTATGTAACAAACCTGCACGTTCTGCACATGTATCCCAGAACTTAAAGTATAATTTTAAAAATGCTCTAAAATACCCTACAATAAGAAAGTGTTCATTTTTGAACAAGTGTTTCATTTTTGGCAAGTGTTTGTTGCCTGGATTAGATAGTGCTGATTATTTCTGGGTTTTTTTTTTTTTTGGTTTTTTTTTTTTTGTTTGTTTGTTTGTTTGCAGAGTCTTGCTCTTGATCTATCTCCCAGGCTGAAGTACAGTAGTGTGATCTCGGCTTGCTGCACCCTCTACCTCCCAGGTTCAAGCAATTCTCATACCTCAGCCTCCTGAGTAGCTAGAACTATAGGCATACGCCACCATACCTGCTAATTTTTCTATTTTTAGTAGAGACTGGATTTTGCCATGTTGGCCAGGCTGGTCTCGAACTCCTGGCCTCAACTGATCTGCCCAACTCAGCCTCCCAAAGTGCTGGGATTACAGGCATAAGCCATCATGTGCGGTTGTTCAACTGTTGTTTATTATGCAAGATGTGGGTAAAAGCTTTTCTCTCTTATGAACTGGTGTGATCTTATTAGGCAGAGAGAGCAATTTAAACTTTCACTTTTTCCCTTCATCACCAAGTGGCTTAGATCTAAGTTGTGGTATCAATACTTATGTTCACTTGTATCTAGTTCTCTATTTCTGATTAAAAAGATTACAATTCCCGGCTCCTGAGCTGGTTTTTTGAAAGGATCAACAAAATTGATAGACCGCTAGCAAGACTAATAAAGAAGAAAAGAGAGAAGAATCAAATAGATGCAATAAAAAATGATAAAGGGGATATCACCACCGATCCCACAGAAATACAAAAACTACCATCAGAGAATATTACAAACACCTCTATGCAAATAAACTAGAAAATCTAGAAGAAATGGATAAATTCCTTGACAAATACACCCTCCCAAGACTAAACCAGGAAGAAGTTGAATCTCTGAACAGACCAATAACAGGCTCTGAAATTGTGGCAATAATCAATAGCTTACCAACCAAAAAGAGTCCAGAACCAGATGGATTCACAGCCGAATTCTACCAGAGGTACAAGGAGGAACTGGTACTATTCCTTCTGAAACTATTCCAATCAATAGAAAAAGAGGGAATCCTCCCTAACTCATTTTATGAGGGCAGCATCATCCTGATACCACAGCCAGGCAGAGACACAACCAAAAAAGAGAATTTTAGACCAATATCCTTGATGAACATTGATGCAAAAATCCTCAATAAAATACTGGCAAACCGAATCCAGCAGTGCATCAAAAAGCTTATCCACCATGATCAAGTGGGCTTCATCCCTGGGATGCAAGGCTGGTTCAATATACACAAATCAATAAACATAATCCAGCATATAAACAGAACCAAAGACAAAAACCACATAATTATCTCAATAGATGCAGAAAAGGCCTTTGACAAAATTCAACAACGCTTCATGCTAAAAACTCTCAATAAGTTAGGTATTGATGGGACGTATCTCAAAATAATAAGAGCTATCTATGACAAACCCACAGCCAATATCATACTGAATGGGCAAAAACTGGAAGCATTCCCTTTGAAAACTGGCACAAGACAGGGATGCCCTCTCTCACCACTCCTATTCAACATAGTGTTGGAAGTGCTGGCCAGGGCAATTAGGCAGGAGAAGGAAATAAAGGGTATTCAATTAGGAAAAGAGGAAGTCAAATTGTCCCTCTTTGCAGATGACATGATTGTATATCTAGAAAACCCCATTGTCTCAGCCCAAAATCTCCTTAAGCTGATAAGCAACTTCAGCAAAGTATCAGGATAGAAAATCAATGTGCAAAAATCACAAGCATTCTTATACACCAATCACAGACAAACAGAGAGCCAAATCATGAGTGAACTCCCATTCACAATTGCTTCAAAGAGAATAAAATACCTAGGAATCCAACTTACAAGGGATGTGAAGGACCTCTTCAAGGAGAACTACAAACTACTGCTCAATGAAATAAAAGAGGATACAAACAAATGGAAGAACATTCCATGCTCATGGGTAGGAAGAATCAATATCATGAAAATGGCCATACTGCCCAAGGTAATTTATAGATTCAATGCCATCCCCATCAAGCTACCTATGACTTTCTTCACAGAATTGGAAAAAACTACTTTAAAGTTCATATGGAACCAAAAAAGAGCCCGCATTGCCAAGTCAATCCTAAGCCAAAAGAACAAAGCTGGAGGCATCACACTACCTGACTTCAAACTATACTACAAGGCTACAGTAACCAAAACAGCATGGTACTGGTACCAAAAGAGAGATATAGATCAATGGAACAGAATAGAGCCCTCAGAAATAACGCCGCATATCTACAACTATCTGATCTTTGACAAACCTGAGAAAAACAAGCAATGGGGAAAGGATTCCCTATTTAATAAATGGTGCTGGGAAAACTGGCTAGCCATATGTAGAAAGCTGAAACTGGATCCCTTCCTTACATCTTATACAAAAATTAATTCAAGATGGATTAAAGACTTACATGTTAGACCTAAAACCATAAAAACCCTAGAAGAAAACCTAGGCAATACCATTCAGGACATAGGCATGGGCAAGGACTTCATGTCTAAAACACCAAAAGCAATGGCAACAAAAGCCAAAATTGACAAATGGGACCTAATTAAACTAAAGAGCTTTTGCACAGCAAAAGAAGCTACCGTCAGAGTGAACAGGCAACCTACAAAATGGGAGAAAATTTTCTCAACCTACTCATCTGACAAAGGGCTAATATCCAGAATCTACAATGAACTCAAACAAATTTACAAGAAAAAAACAAACAACCCCATCAAAAAGTGGGCAAAGGACATGAACAGACATTTCTCAAAAGAAGACATTAATGCAGCCAAAAAAGACATGCAAAAATGCTCACCATCACTGGCCATCATAGAAATGCAAATCAAAACCACAATGAGATACCATCTCACACCAGTTAGAATGGCAATCATTAAAAGGTCAAGAAACAGCAGGTGCTGGAGAGGATGTGGAGAAATAGGAACACTTTTACACTGTTGGTGGGACTGTAAACTAGTTCAACCATTGTGGAAGTCAGTGTGGCGATTCCTCAGGGATCTAGAACTAGAAATACCATTTGACCCAGCCATCCCATTACTGGGTATATACCCAAAGGATTATAAATCATGCTGCTATAAAGACACATGCACACGTATGTTTATTGCGGCTCTATTCACAATAGCAAAACTTGGGACCAACCCAAATATCCAACAATGATAGACTGGATTAAGAAAATGTGGCACATATACACCATGGAATACTATGCAGCCATAAAAAATGATGAGTTCATGTCCTTTGTAAGGACATGGATGAAATTGGAAATCATCATTCTCAGTAAACTATCGCAAGAACAAAAAATCAAACACCGCATATTCTCACTCATAGGTGGGAAATGAACAATGAGAACACATGGACACATGAAGGGGAACATCACACTCTGGGGACTGTTGTGGGGTGGGGTGAGGGGGGAGGGATAGCATTAGGAGAATACCTAATGCTAAATGAGGAGTTAATGGGTGCAGCACACCAGCATGGCACATGTATACATGTGTAATTAACCTGCACATTGTGCACATGTACCCTAAAACTTAAAGTATAGTAATAATAAAATGAACTAAAAAAAAAAAAAGTAAGTGTGGCTATGTGACTTATTCTAGTCAAATGGAAAAAAGAATGAGTAGAAGTGATATGTGTCACTATTAGGCCGAAGCATTTATGGCTACAGCTCAACTCTCCAGCTCTCTTTTTCCCACGCTATAGTGACCAAGAAAGCTGTGAAGCAAGGAGACCTGTTCAAAGGATATTACAGAAATCCAGGCAAATGGCTGGACACAGTGGCTCACGCCTGTAATCTTAGCACTTTGGGAAGCTGAGGTGGGCAGATCACTTGAGAGACCAAGAGTTCGAGACCAGCCTGGCCAACATGGTGAAACCCGTCTCTACTAAAAATATAAAAAATTAGCCAGGCATGGTGGTGCATGCCTATAGTCCCAGCTGCTTGGGAGGCTGGGGCACAAGAATCTCTCGAACCCAGGAGGTGGAGGTTGCAGTGAGCCAAGATCATGCCACTGCACTCCAGCCTTGGTAATGGAGTGTACAAAAAAAAAAGAAGAAGAAAAAGAAATCCAGGTGAGAAATGATGATGGCTGAGACCAGGGTGTAACTGTAGAGCTGGGAAGAAGTGTTCATATTCTCCATAAATCTTTAAGGGCCACCATCAAGGGTTTTTGGATGGATTGATTAGATATGTGATATAAGACAAAAGGTGTCGAGGATGACTCCAGGTTTTTTGGCCTAAACTAAATATACTAAAAACTTTTTTTTTGAACAATGCAAATCTATTGTAAATAAGATTTAATTCAGAGTTTTTAAAAGAGAAAGCTTCCATTTACTGAAAAGTTGATATTGTGAAATACAAGCCAGTGATCTGTGCATCAGGGTTACAAACAGGAATCAGGACTCTTTAAGTTCAAAAGTTTATTCTCAGCCCTCTTAGTACACTATGTCTACCTCGTGTTTCAAGCTAAATTTGCTTGACATTCTTGTTTGAGCGGGTATTTTTTTAATCCACTCCTTGTGTAACTCTAAAAATAAACTGCCCTAAATGATTCACCTCACACAAGAGCACTCATAAACAAACTGTAGTAAATTAAGCATCTCCTTGTAAATGCAGTTCATGAGGTAGTTAAAATTTGCCCACATGAAGGTGACACTTATTTGCACATTTATAGCATTAACAGAGACTAAAATAGCAACCACTCTTTAAGCTCTGTTATGAGCTGCTGCAGACTGTGTTTTTCCATATACAACACGTCTTTTACTAGAGCGTGGTCCACTGCTTGAGAAAGAGATGCAGTATGATATGATAAAAACTACTTGAGTTTTGGAGTCAGACCATACGGTATTTGAATCTTAGCTGTGCTAATTACTAGCTATGTGGCACTGAAAAAGTTGCTAAATCTCTTTGGGCCTCATTCTTTTTCTTCATCTGTAACCCTGGGACAATAATTTCCATCTTGTTTGGATGCTGTGAAGATTTTAAACAATGTATATAAAGCCTGGCACTTGGCAGGTGCTAAGCAAATAGAGATATTATTATAAATGCAATATACTAGTATTAATGACCATCATATATTATTGTATAAAGCTATATTTTAATATTACCATTAATGTTTTATGTTAATATAATAATGGTACTAGTATAACAATGACATAAGGAAGATTAAAAGCAGAATTAATCTTATTTTTTACGAAAAGAAATAAGTTCTATCTGACCATGTCATGTCTAGAATTTGGGTGGCCTACATATCACTAGTGACTCTTATGGAAAGAAAACACATAAATTGAAACTATGTCAGCCTTCAACACATCAACAACTGATGGAAAACAAAGCAACCGACAGCTGTTTCCTGATGTGGTGGTGATACTGCAAGAGCTAGAAGAGGGAGAAAGACTGTACAACCCAATGCCCATCGATGAATGGGATTTGTGCTGTCAATCACCTTCTTGGGAGTGTAGGACTGCCTATCTTTAAAAGTCAAGTTTTTTCAATGAAAGAACTTCACAAATATTTCCAGGAACTTTTGGACACTCAAGGCAACTTTACTCAGCATTACAAACTAGATATAGTTTTTAAATTTTTTCCTTTCTGCTGTATTTTCTCTAACATTGTTACATTTGGATCTTAGTTAAAATTAAATCCACATCTTAGGCATCGAACTAGGGCTCTGCAATGCAAAATTGTATTTGTGACTCCCTGCTAGAAAACAAAGAGAAAATATAGTTGAGTACTTCAAATGGGCCACAGCATTCTTGATTTCTTTCATGCATAGTACATGGTAGAGCTAGGCGAGAACACGGACCTCTCTCATTTTCCCAGAGAGTCCTCTCTCCATATTTCTTCTCAGAGTTGAAGGCACTGACCTTCTTTTTCCCACCCAACTGTTTCCCCAGGAAGCCAGGCAGCTTTTCTTTTTGTCATGTGGTTGAGATCAACATTGCCACTATGGTGTCCATAACTCTGAGTTAGAAGAATAATGTAATCCCCATTAAAGGCCTGAGGAAAAAGTCTATGGAACTTGTAGGTGTTGCACACTAATAGGGGTGATTAGTGTTGCACACTCATCAATGCACTACATAAATCTTCAGAATCATATGAAAGCCCTAAATATCTGTTGGGGGAATTAAAACTAGTTATTGGCTGGGCAAGGTGGCTCACGCCTGTTATCCCAGCACTTTGGGAGGCCAAGGTGGGCAGATCACCTGAGGTCAGGAGTTTGAGACCAGCCTGGCCAACATGGTGAAACCCTGTCTCTACTAAAGGTACAAAAAATTAGCCAGGCATCGTGGCGGGTGCCTGTAATCCCAGCTGCTCGGGAGGCTGAGGCAGGAGAATCGCTTGAACCTGGAAGGTGGAGGTTGTAGTGAGCCAAGATCGTGCCACTGCACTCCAGCCTGGGTGTTGCAGTGAGACTTTATCTCAAAAAAAAAAAACAAAAACCAAAAAAACCCACCTAGTTATTCTAGTTATTTCCAGTAATTACATATTATATCACTCCATTTATGCATGGATGGTTAAAAAGCCACCACAGGCTATAAAATCATTGGCTAATGAAAAGAACATCCTAAGGTTTTGATTTATTGTCCCTGCTATCAGAGACAAACACAGCCACTGTTACAAATGTGTAAACAACCTCAATGAAGGTTTAATGTGCTTTTATCACAAGCCTCCATTGTCCACTGGCCGGGAGATGAAGCTTTGTGCTCCTGTGCATTGTGTAATTAAAATCCTTTCACTCAACAGAGAAGCAGAGACAGTTATCAACTAATTTATGAAAGAAACAGGAAGAATCTTATATTACCAGCAAGAGCAGCAATAGGAATTTTGATTTAGGTTTGGGCATTATTAATTGCCACAGTGACTTTAGAGGCAGACTTCTCAGATACAAAGCCTTTACAAGAGGCTGTGTCTGCGTGATAATAACAGGTGATGGTGAACATATCCAACTTCCAGAGTTGCTTTCAGTTACTTGCTTTTCTGCCTGAGAGAGCTAAGAGGCTTCCTGAGAGTGCTATACCGGGAGTTCAAAGAGTGAAGTGTGAGTGTGACATAAAAACAAGGGAGTCAGGAGCCTGTAGCTTGACACCAATTAAGCAATCACATAACAGATGCAGATTTACTACCTCTTCCTCCTTAAAGAGCTTTTGTCTGTGCGATTGGTCAGAGATGAGATTTAACAGATCCCAAATATTCTGAAAGTTAAAACAACAACAACATCAACAAAAACAACCACCCAAGAGTCAGTGATCTGTTTGATATTATACCTCTTAGAAAAGACCTTTAAAAATCAACAACACACCCTCATAAAGAAATTATTCTTTTTGTCCAGATACCTCTACATGCCACCTTATTGTGACTGGAACTGATTGTCTGATGCATTAAACCTGAGTGGAAGATCCAGCTCTACAGAATGAATTACTGATGCCACACTAATGCTGAGATTAACCTTCAATACTGCCTGGGCTGCTCCACCACGTGCTACAAATTAGGTAATAAGAATACAGATGTATGTGGCTACTGAAGATAGCCTTTTTTCAGCCTGAAGTCACCTAAGAAAATACTTTTGCATTTGAAGAGTTTTCATTATTGTTACGAATATATCCTGTTTTCCAGGGAGAGTCATCAATTCTGCCTTCATATGCTGTGAATCATTCCAAAAGCCTATCCTATTTTCTGGCTCCACACTGCTCCCACATAACAGGGCCTTGCAGCAAATTTACCAAAGACAGTGCCTGATGATTAGGAACAGAAGATGTACATGTCCATCTTCCTGAGTCTGGATGGTCATGGTCACTTCTATTGTTCCTCTCTTATACTCTTTTTGTGGTTGTGCACCCCTTCTTTTGGTTTATAAATTCTAAATCAGTAAAGATTTCTCCTAAGAAGCAGGCTTATAAATAAGACACTTTTAAAAAAGTGTTTAAATACCACAGGATGATGAAGAGATAAAAATATGAAATTAATTTTGCATTATTTAGTTCCAGATGAAAAAATTAAAATTACTCGAATGTAAAGGATTCACAATCCCCAGGAGAAGTATTTGTCTTTCATTACCCATAAACCATCACTTCCTGGAGTCACTCAGCATCTCAAATGACTAACCAAAAGTAGACGACTGAAACCTTCAGCCATCTTCAGCCGAAGTCTGAACAATGCAATAGATTCTCCATGGCCTCTTCTTCCTATTTAATTTTATTTTCCACGTGCGGGACATAGGTCTGTAGATTACAACAAATCATTTGCAAAAGAAAAGTAGATCCAGTCCTCCACTGGAGTAAACCTATAGAACCCAAAGTACATCCATGAAGAAAGCACTTGGAAGACAGTGATTCCGGCTGTTGCTCTTTGGTAAATGAGACCCAGGATCAGACACTGGGCTCCTTGGTGACCAGCTAAAGTTGTCTACCCAGTCTTGATTGGAAACTAAGCAAGTTAATAGACATGTAAGGAGAATAGGCTATTTGTATCAAAGGAGGTGGTGCTTGGCTTTTAGAACTACTCATTCCATTTTTCCACAATCTAGCTGAACGGTTAATCTACCTCCAACCCCTGGCAATCAAGACTACTTTTTAGTTCAAAAAAACCAAAGAACTGAGAAAGAATAAAGTGAAAATTGAAGCATTCAGACACTTTTGAAGATTCAACTTCGGTATTACAATGAGTCAATTAGCCTGTGAAGAGAGAATCCAAGCTTACAAAATTAATCAGATAGCACATTTAAAAACTATAATAGCGAGGGTTAAAAATAGCCTTTGCAACAGAAGCCACAAGTTCTCCTGAGTTCTTATAAAGCGTGCTTTTCTCAGTGAGTATTTTCAATATGGAGCCCAAAACTGGGGCTACTGATGGAGAAGTAGGGGTGTCCAGGCCCATAAGCTGCGGTGCACTGGCCAGGAGGTGGGCAAGTACCAGAATCACAGTGTGCTTACTGGAGTAGGACAGGCCTGAGAGGTAAAAAGAAGGGAGAAGGCCTGGCCAAGAATATGAAACACAGCACTTGGCAGATGTGATGAAAGAGAATGACAGGTGCCCATTCAGGTGATACTGAGGTTCAAAGTAAAGTGCTTTTCCAAAGCCTAGTTATCAGACCTGGGATTTGAGGTTAAGAACACATATGAAGTGATATCAAGCCAAATAACATGCTAAATTAGGGGTCCTTAAAGTGGTCCTTACTTAGGAATCAATTGGCTCCAGGATGAAGGGTAAAGTTGAAGTTTTTGGGGGGAGGCAGGTGGCCACAGCTGTTGGCAGAATAGTACTCTGCAGGCAAAAGCTAAACAATGGTTGTGCCAGGTTGACCAACTTCCAGTGCAGAACTGGCCCAGAAACATGATTTATTTACAAAGTCCTTGAGGTTATGGTCATTTGTCTCTTTCTCGTGAAGACTGCATAAAGCATGAAAAGCTGTATGCTGGATGGTAGAATACTGCTTCCTTTTTGCATAAATAATTAGTGAATTACAAGCTGAAGTAAGTAGCCTTTTTCTAATGGTTGCATCCTCCTGAAAACCTTTTTTCCCCTGTTACCTAACAGGGCTTTTTGGCTTTTCATCACCTTTCTAAGCATTATTTATATTTCATATACCACACAACATTGGGCACTCCTCCTCTGTTTGAATAGTTTTAAGTTAGTTGATTCATGGAACAATTGCAAAGGAACAATCAATATCATTTCTAGAATTCACATTAGGCTGTTTTGGAGAAGGTTCATTCCAAAGCTTGTAAGTGCTTCTTCAACATTATTGGAAAAGGGCACATTTTTAGATAAAGACCAGATCTAAATTTCCTCCAAGTTTTCCTTAGTGCCTGACTTCCAAATCCTTTCATTGATGATTCCTGCCTGTCTAGCTTTACTTTTCCCAACTCCAAAAACCCATCCTAGTTTTAAATGTATCAAACAGTTTATTTATTTATTTATTTATTTATTTATTTTGAGACGGAGTTTTGCCCAGGCTGGAGTGCAATGGCATGATCTCGGCTCACTGCAACCTCCGCCTCCCGGGTTCAAGCGATTCTCCTGCCTCAGCCTCCTGAGTAGCTGGGACTACAGGCACCTGCCACCACGCCTGGCTAATTTTTTTGTATTTTTAGTAGAGACAGGGTTTCACCATGTTGGCCAGGATGGTCTCCATCTCCTGACCTCGTGATCCACCTGCCTCGGCCTCCCAAAGTGCTGTGATTACAGGCGTGAGCACGCCCAGCCATTATATCAAACTATTAATAGTTTTCCAAATATGAGAAGCTACTTCAAACTGCTGTGACATTGCACATGCTGTATTCTCTAGCTGGAATGTTCTCCACCTGACTGAAGGTTGCCTCCTGCCCATCTGTGAAAATTCAGCCCAGGCATCACCTCTCACTCCAGATTCCCTCTGGAGCCCCTCCTGGGCTCATCTGAGCATCTTCTTTGGATACTGTCAAAGCAGCTCATGTTTACTTGATGGTCACCTGTCATTGCTTGTTTACTTATTGATCTGACTAAAATGTGAGTTCCCTGAGGACACTCTCTTTTATTCCAACATTGTCCAGTGGAAATACAATGGTAGCCATGGGTGTAATTTGGCATTTTTTACTAGCCACATTATAAAAGGTAAAAAGGAACAGGAAAAATTAATTTTAATGACATTTAATATGACCCAATACATCTAAAATATTAGTTTTTTCAAAATGTAATACATATAAAAACTTATAGTTTATAACAAAAAAGTCTACATTCTTCTTTTTCATAGTAAGTCTTTGAAATTCAGTGTACATTTTATACTTAGAACACATGGCAGTTTTGACCAGCTACAACTGAAGTGCTCTATAGCCACATGTGGCTAATGGCCACCAGACTGGACTGCTTATTTCTATTACTTTAGTCCACAGATCTAGTGAAGTATCTGGAACCAAATAGATACTTAGTTGATTGTACAAATGAGTCTCAGGCACAAGCAATATTAAGTAATATATCTATTAATACATCTATTAAGTAATAGAGTCATAAGGTTGAAAGTTCCTTGGGAGGTCATTATGATAGATAACTGTGAAATTACATATTTCTGTAACTTCTAAATTCTTAATAATTTTTGGTGCATGAATTGATTTTGTCATGTCTCATCATTAAGTAACAGTATGACTAATAACCTTACTGTGCTTCTGCCTGCTTCTTCGTGATATGTGGAGTGACCGAAGAAAAACAAAAGCTTTTCCTATAACTAATCTACTTATTAGTACCCACAGATTCCCACAGGGCACAGAGATGTGCATGCCTCTTTGACTCTAATTTGCTCAATTTCTTTTTTTAAGTAAGTGTTTTCTGTTAAATCAGTACTTTGCCATCACCCTGCTCACCTCCTCTACCCTTCCTGCTTATCCCTGTTTGCTCCTTTTCTCAGCTCCACTAACACTGCTGAGTCCAGAGCAAAGTACAAATAGAGCCCCATCTACCCTATGTCTAAATACTTAAAGCTGGAAATCAAGTCAACAAACTATTGAACATGTTTTAACATGTTCATTCCTCCTCCATTATCAAACATGCAGTCAGAATATAAAAATTTTTAAAAATGTGTAAAGCTATGATTTTATATATTGTATTCATGGATCCGTGATATTTAGAAGAGTAACAAAATTTAAAAATATTTCAATGGGAATGTAAATTAGTACAGCCATTATGGAAAACTGTGTGGAGATTTCTCAAAAAATTAAAAATAGAATTATCATATGATCCAGTAATCTTACTTGTGAGTATTACCCAAAAAGATATGTAGTATGTGGAAGAAATGTCTGTATGCTCCTGTTCATTGCAACAGTGTTCATAGTAGCCAAGTTATGAAGTCAACCTAAATGTCCATCAACAAATGAATAATTTTTTAAAATGTGGTGTGTGTGTGTATATACATATATATATACACAATGTACTATCCAGCCTTAGAAAAGAAAGGAATTTTGTAATTTGTGACAACATGGATGGAATTGGAGAACATTCTGCTAAGTGAAATAAGCCACAGAAAGACAAATACTGAATGAACTTCTCATTTACATGTAGAAACTTAAAACAAACCCAAAGAAGCAGAGAGTAGAATGGGGATTACCAGAGGCTGGGAATTTGAGGGAAATAGGGAGATGATGGTCAAAAGGATACAAAGTCTCTATTTTCTTGGAGATAGACTCAGAGCTTGATGAATACAATAAATAATAATGTATTATACATGTCAAAATCCCTAAGAGGGTAAATTTCAAGTGTTCTCACCTCAAAATTGATAAATATTTAAGGTGATGGATATGTCTATTAGCTTGATTTAATTATTCCACATTATATTCATAAATTATAACATCACTTTTTATCCCGTAAATACATACTATAATATGTATATAGTATAATTGGTATTAACTGTATAATATGAATAATATGTATACATTCATATATGTATATAACTGTAATATATATTAATTACAATTTGTCAATTTATAATAAAAGTATGTAGAGGATATTAAGAGAGCTACATTCATATGCAAATTCAAATATTTGCATATTTTAAATTTTTTCTTCTATTTCAAAATAAGGTATGTTTCTGTGGCCTTGTGTTTTTCTGTTTTAGGGCAAATAAAATACCCTTTTTTCAGAAAAATTAAAAACAAATTTAAATTTAAATGGATAAATGATTTGCTTATAAAAGAAGTTATTTTTGTGCTCTATTGACAGTAATGATCTAAAGCAGGAGTCAGCAAACTTTTTCTATAAAAGATATGTGGTAAATATTCTCAGCATTTTGGACTATAAGGTTTCTGTTGCCACTACTCACCTTTGCTGTTGTAATGAAAGCAGCTGTAAACAACATGTAATTGCACAAATGGTTGTGGTTGTGTTTGAAGAAAGTTTTATTTATAGACATTAAAATCAGAATTTCATGTAAATTTTACATGCAAAAAATATTATTACTCTTTTGATTTTTCCCAATACTATTTAAAAATGTTTTAAAGAGAAAAACCCTCAAACCCATTCTTAGCTTTTGTAGGCTATATAAAAACACATGACAGGCAGATGTGGTCTGCAAAGCATAATTTGCTGAACCCTAATCTAAATTACTGAAATCAAAATGCAATTGATTTCAAAGTGTACAAAGTTTAAATACATTATAAAATGTAAAGTAAATGTGAAAATATAAAAATAATTTCTCACTTAAAAAATATTCTAAAATATTTAAAATCCTAAAAAATGCACATTTCAATCAAGTATAAAAACATTAAATCAAAATTATTTAAACATTTTTAAAATTATCTATTTCTACTTCAGCCTCCATAAATCTTAGCTCTTTATTAACGCCAGTGCCAAACATGGGTCCATTTTCAGCTTTAATTTGAAATTGAAGGTCTTTATTTTAAGCTCCTTCTGTTCACTTCCCAATTCTAATTAACAATTTGTACACTTGAGAAATATAGCATGGCTTATTTTAAGACTAATTTTTTTCAGTGTCCTACTTAATTTGTTCTCAGCCTGAGAAATTAGAGATAACAGCTTTTAATTACTGAAAAACAGATTTAAAAATGCTGAGGCATGCTATTTCATATGTTCATTGACATATATTCTTTGACCAATATGAATATTTCAATTCTGAGAAGCTATTTCAATAAAATTCAAATGCATATTATTGTCTTTTGTCACAAAGTTGCATCATGGAATATCTTGTGAGATGATGCCATTGGGAAAAGAAAAAAATTAACACAGGTAAATAATAGTACATATACAGTTGGCCTTCTGTGTCTGTGGGTTCTGCACCCATTAATTCAACAAATCACAAGTCAAAAATACATTTTTAAAAATTGCATCTGTATGGAACATGTACAGACTTTTTTCTTGTCATTATTTCCTAAATGAAACAGTATAATATCTACATAGCATTTACATTGTACTAGGTATTATAAATAATCTGCAGATGATTTAAACTAGATGGGAGGATGTGCATAGGCTATGTGCAAGTACTACCCATTTTATATCAGAGTCCTCAGCATCCGTGAATTTTGGTATCCTTGGTAGGTCCAGGAACCAATCCCCAACAGATACCAAGTGATGAACTGCACTCTATTGTTGCATTAATTTGCAAAGCACTTCCATATACACTATTTCTTTTTAACTTTTAAAACACTGTGATGTAGGGAATGCCCTTATACATGACCCCTCCCTCCCTTTATACAGACCTCTCTCTAGTCTCATCCAATTGATAAATTGCTATATAACTCAGCTCAAACATTCTTTCTTCCGTGAAATCTTCCTCAGTCCCTTCTGTAGAAGAGTTAGTTAGGTAACTACAATGTGGAGGTTGGAACATCTATCTTATTAAACTTGCCCGGTTGTTTAGGTAAGGGCTGGCTTACACCAACAGTCTGTGACCTCCCCTAGGGTTAGGATTCCAATTTATTCACCTCTGGATTTTCAGCAACCATCATGATGTATGGCAAGCTACACATGTTCAGGACATATATTAATTCATCTACTCATTCAACAAATATTTGTTGAGTGTCTTTTATGTTCCAAGTGTGGTTCTAGGTGCTGAGAAAACAATAGTGAATAAAATAGATAAAAATCCCTGCCCTTGTGGAGCTCTCATTCTAATCAATCAGGAAAGACAGACAATAAACAAGATAAGCCAGTATATTATTCTGGGTTCTCCACAGAAACAGAACCTAAAAGAAGATTATGAGAATTGGTTCATGTGATTATGGAGGTCTAGATATCCTTCCATATGCCATCTGCAAGCTGGAAAACTAAGAAAACTGGTTGTGTAATTCAGTCTGAAGGCCTGAGAACTAAGGGAGCCAATGGTATAACCCCCAGTCTGATTCTGAAGGCCTGAAAACTGGGGAGGTGGGAGGACAAGATAGGGCACTGATGTAATTCTGGAGTCCAGGGGACCAAGAACCAGGAACTCTCATGTCAGATAGCAGGAGAAGACAAATGTCTCAGCTCAAGAAGAGAGAGAGGATTCATCCATTTCTCCACTTTTTTGTTCTCTCTGGGCCCCAATGACTGAATGATTCTCACCTGCATTGAAGAGGTTGGATCTTTTTCACTCAGTCTACTCACTCAGAAAGATTCAAATGCTTTCTTCTGGAAACACTCTCACAGACTCAACCACAAACAATGTTTGACCAGCTATCTGGGCATCCCTTAGCTCAGTCAAGTTGACACATTAAAATTAACCATCACAGCCTGTAAAATGTATAGTATGTTTGATGGTTATTAGCGCCATGGAGAAAAATTGAGCTGGAAAGGGCATAAGAAATGTTGGGATAGGGCTGCCCCATTGCAAATATGACATTTAAGTAAGGAATTAAGCAAGTATAGAAATGAACCACACCCATGAATACCTAGGGGAGAAAAGGAGGGAGTGTGCATGGTCTGTTGGAGGCCAGCATGGCTGAGATAGAGTGAGCAAGTGAGAATCGGGGAGATGAGAGGAGGAGGAGAAATGGGAAGCCAGATCTACAGCCTCAACAGCTACTGCAAGACTGGTCTTTACTCCATTTGGAAGCCATTGGAGGGTTTCCAGCAGAGTAGTGACATATTCAATTTAGGTTTTAACAAGATTACATTCATTTATAAATGTGCATGTGTAGAAAATGATGCCTAAACAAGAAAGAATTTTACCTGAGGTCACACGGTTGGTACTTGGAAAATATGGGACCAGAACTCATGCTCCCTGGCCTAAGTCAAATTCCTTTTCTATCATTGCTCACTCAGAAACAGTTCTCAGAAATGTGAATATGGTTGAAAAGAATGATTGTTTCCTTTTAAATTGTTAATTGCTTATGTCTAGGACCAGTTGATTGATTTCTTTTTATTTTTCTTGAGGGCAATCAATCCTCTTATTTTAACTAGATAACCTCAACATTCTACATATGTTGAATATTTAAAATGTCCATGTGTCTGTCATTGTTCAGACAAAACATTTGGATATGAGGCTGAATTGTTCCCCTTACATTTGGCTGCCCTTGGGTGGTTATTAATGTACCAAACTGACTTCTTCAATTTTATTTATATTCATGACAAGTATCACTTGGGGGCAGTTATCTATGAATTTAAAAGCTATATGGCATTCCTTTCTTTCCAAAGAAACAATATATCTTTGCATATAAGTAATATCAAATAAATTTATTTTATTCCCCCCCCAAATTGAGATCCTTTTGCTGTAGATGATCAACCTGATAATGTTGATTGCATATCTCTCTGAAAAACTATCTCTATTCTTGAGAAAGAATACTCACTTATACAGCTGACAAAGAATACATACCACAATGAAGTAGTACCAATATAACAATATTGCTAAATTGGCATTATTGAAATAAAATTCCTCAACAGTACATTTATGTTATTATTTTATTGAAAAAGGATTTTATGGTTTTAAATAAATTATTAAAATAAATAAAAGTGATGCTGGACTAGAAATTTCAACAGAGGAATAGATGTGAATAGTTAACAGGTTGTTACTGAAGATAATGGACTAAAAAACTGAAAATTGTCATTGATATCATACAATTTTTGAAACTAGAGAAAAAGGCTCTCTGTCTTAAGGTAAAAATACAAAGTCTCAGAGAGCAGAAGCCCTCCATGGGGCAGGGACAGGCCATGACCTAGCCCCAGATACCATCACTTCTCTTACATTGCTTGTCCAAAAGCACCGGGTACCCAAGTGTAACGTCAGTAGGATTTAATCAGCTGCAGAATAGTGGTTGTCCTGACTTACTTACAAAGTGCAGTCACACACATCATTTGTTGATGTATTAATTTGGTTACACTCAATAACTTACCTATTATTATAATCAGTAGTTTGTGTCAAGACACGTCTCTCCAGGATTTAGCACTTGCTGACTTCCAAACTCATCTCTCACAAGCCTCAAGCCCTACTGGACCTAAAGTTGGCAAAAACTGAGCCGCATCATTTCTCTACCCCTATCTCTCACCATGCCCACTAACGTAGGGATTGTTAGACATGTAGTGTGCATGTCCTAGCAACACTTCCAAAAATAGTTTTTAATGTTACTGTTAGGGGCAAAGGCTACCTTAGAGGGTTGTCAAATTTTTATTTCATGAAGTAATACAATTTTTAATAGTACCAATGTCTAGTACCACCATTTTAATTCTGTGGTCATAACCGATTCAGTAATTCGTTCAACATTAGCCAATATAAGACTCTTCAGGACTTAAGCATAGGTCTTCTGACTGCTAGGCCAGTGCTAAAAACTGCAGTTTAATTCTATAAAAATCACAGGGATGGTAACTAAAAGTTAGTATGGCTAGATGTGTGAAATAAGAGAATAAATGTGGTGGAGGTGGAGAAAGCATGGGGAGCTAGGAGATGGAGCTTGACTACCCAAGAACAGTTTAGTCAAGGAAGAAGACAGAAGCAGCATCTTACAGTAGCACAGAACAAGGTAGAAAGGGGCTGTCAGGTAAGCCAGTAATTGGGAGTCCATGAGAAGTTGTAGAGGATACAGAGAATATGGCAAACAACAGGAGGTACTTAATGGCAATAATTGTGTTGGGTGCACTTAAGAAGTGGAGAGGTTTGATCAGAGGAGTTGGGAGGACTCAAGACAGGAAAAAAAGGAAAAATGTTTGACATGGAGGTTAGAAAGACTCCTCCTAAGATCAGGAGTTAGACAATAGTTAGAAAGTTGGAATATAGAAATAGAGATAGGGGAGAAATATATGAAAGCAGTAATGTGCTATCTTATGAACAAGTTAATACAGACATTAAAGGTGTCCACTAATTCTGAGTTACCAAAGCATGGATTTTTAATGCCATTCATTTGGCAATTAATGATATGCTATCTTGTGACATTCTTTATATTGTTATTTGAATAATTATTACTTCTTGCATTATTCAACTTTTTATCTAGTAATGTCTTACCTCTTCAGGATATTCTAGGGTGAGGGCATTTTGGATGAAGCTAGCTGGTGGGAGCAAAGTTTCATAACTCTGTGTGAGAGAGAAAAAAATCTGATGTATGGATAAATTGTATTAGGAATATCCAGGAAAGCCCATGTGTCCTAACTCTATGCAGGCTATACAAGCAAAGTATCTGATATGCAGTTATGCATCTATTATTTGTTTGGCAGTGAGGATATACTAAAGTTAATTAAAACAAATCACAAGCTACAACATATGAGTCACGGAATTTCACAGAAGATTGAAGTTTCTGACAGAGAGTAGGATTGACCATTAGAAAGTTTGGTTTAAAGGAGACTACAGAATTTTTCCTGGAGACTTTTTTTTTTTTTTTGAGATGGAGTTTTTGGTCTTGTTGCCCAGGCTGAGAGTGCAATGAATGGCATGATCTCGGCTCACGGCAACCTCTGCCTCCCCGGTTCAAGCAATTCTTCTGCCTCAGCCTCCCGAGCAGCTGGGATTACAGGCATGCGCCACCACACCCAGCTTATTTTGTATTTTTAGTAGAGACGGGGTTTCTCCACGTTGGTCAGGCTGGTCTCGAACTCTTGACCTCAAGTGATCCGCCCGCCTTGGCCTCCCAACCTGGAGGCTCTTAAAGAGAGTTTGAGATAGGTTGGGTATGGCAAAGAGGAGTTTTCAAATGCCAGCCTGTGGGCCAGTGTTTATCTGTACTACATTTTCATAGGTCTTCAGTGAAATGAGAAAAACATAGATGGCATGGTTCAGATATTGTTGCTAGATCTTCATTTTTAGGAGGGCTGTTTGTTCTGTATTTTTTCTAGTTTCCAGGGGCATTGAAATATTTTTTATTGAAATCATAGTGATAGCACAGATTGGTATTTCTAAATGTCATTTGTTAAATAAAAAATAAATAGCATTCCTGTGATGTAGACTCTTTTTTCCTATCAAAAGCATCTTTTGAAATGTTGCTGTCCCATGCAATCTACAGGCAGGACTCCTCTAGGTTAACAGGCATAGTGGGAGATGTGGGCAGGGAGATGATGTGGCTGAGTTTTATTGGATGATTCTTAACTCCAAATCCAGTGTTGCCTGTGCTGTCACAGGTCTAGAGAGTCAGCAAATGATTAAGCCTGGAGGGACAAGTCTAGACACAAATTATTAGTGATAGTAACAGGAAGTGTTTATTGAATGCTTACTCTATGCCACCATGTGAAGTGGATATTATTAACTAATTTTTACAGATCAGGGAACTGAATGGTAGGGAGTTTTAAGTAACTTGTAAAGGGCACAGACGCAAGTGCTGACACAAGGATTTGAACCCAGGTTTGCTTGAATTCAGTGCCCAAGTTCTTACTAACTGTTCTATACTAATAATATAGTTTGAATATTTGTCTCTGCCCAAACTCATGTTGAAATGTAATCCCCAATATTGATGGTGGCACCTGGTGGTGGGTGGGGTTTGGATCATTGGGGCAGATTCCTCATGAATGGTTTGGGCCATCGTCTTGGTGGTAAGTGAGCTCTCGCTCTGAGTTCATACCAGATCTGGTCATTTAAAAGTGTGTGGCGCCTCCCAGCCCACTCTCTTTCTCTCTTGCTCATGCTTTTGCCCTGTGACATGCCTGCTCCCTCTTTGCCTCTGCCATGATTGGAATCTTCCTGAGGCCTTCCTAGAAGCCAAGCAGATGCCAGCACCATGCTTCCTGTAAAGCCTGTAAAGCCATGAGCCAATTAAACTTCTCTCCTTTATAAACAACAACCCTGTCTTGGGTGTTTCTTTATAGCAATACAAGAGCGGTCTAATACAACTGATTTTCATTAATATTTAAGTGGTTGTTGGGAACCCAAAGTACAGAAAAGCCTGCCAAAAGGATCAGTGTAGAAGGATAAATTAAAAATCAAGAGAGGGGGTCTTAGGGGTGATAGCAAGACACAATGATAATTCACTCTGTCCAATGTGTGAAGTAGCTAAAGTACAGGAGCTATTGCTTTGGGCCACACTGAGGTCACTAGAGGTGAGGGGCATGCATTCTCTATGAATTTGCTCGGCCAGAAGTCATCCTGGAAGGAATAGAGGGCTACTGACAGACAAACTGCACCACTGGATTCCAGGGGACGACTCTAGATCAGGGCAACCAACTCAACCATCTAATGTAGTGCGTAGAAAGGAACTTAAAGCAAACACAATATCCATGCCAGGCACTGTTCTAGACACCAGGGTATAGCACTAAACAGGCAGACAAACTCCTGCCCTTATGGTGCTTACATTTATATAAATATAATACATATGTTTTATATATATAGTATGAGAAAGTGATCAAGACAAAGGGATAAAGAGTAATAGAATGTGTTCTATTTTAGACACTTAGCGGTGATACACATCATATGCCCCTGACAGTCAATTTCTACTTCCCAGAAAAAAACGCATGTTTCAATATACCACTCCATAACGAAGCAATATCATGTAATAACCTGTGACATATAGTTTCTGTTACAGAATATTCTGAAAGTGGAATATCTGTCTCTGGAGCAATATCAATAGAGGCAGGCCTATATTACTATACTTCATATCAGGAGACATCCCTGTCAAGACTGCCGTCTCTCTGGTACCCGCCCCAATCCTTCCTTCTCTTTTCAGGGTGTGGAGATGGTAATGAATTCAGCACGATCCAGGCATTGCTCCATGGCATCACTGTCAGCCTCAATTCTTGCCATGAAATAAAATACCAGATTTAAGAGCTAGTGTGTGGAGGATGCCTTAACTCCAAGCCTATTAGGTGCTTCATTTTGCACTGAAACAATTTTGAAACATTATCAACAAACCAAGAGCATCCAAGGCAATGAATGAACAGCCCCCCAACAATCCTGTGCACACACAGGCATTAGCTATGAAAGTATCTGATGACATAAATTTGATAAGGACTACCTCAATTCTATTCCATCCTGAAGGGAAAGGGCCACATCAATTCCCACATAATGCAGGGATGAATTAGTCAAGTGGAGGACTTTTGGTGAGCTTTGAACCCGTGAGTCACTTTCACATTGCTCTTCCCAATTCCTTGCAATGGGAGCTGTTTCCCCAGTTCTGCTGCCCAAACTTGCAGAGGTGACATTCAATCAAACCACAAAGCATTTCTAAATCTCTGACAGTAGAATTGAGGTAATTGAGAGTTGTGCCTCTGGGGTAGCCACAGGGAGAATATTATAAATATTTTCTGCTATAAATTCATTTAACAAATGTTCATGGAACACCTACTATGTGCTACACACAAGTCCTAAGATGCAAACTTCTCTTTTGACATGCAAGAAGCAGAAACAAAGATTTCTTTCTCTGTGGGTCTTGATTTTATTGCTATTGATCATTTATATGCTATTTTAATTCCTAGATCAGTAGTTCTAGGAAATCCATATATTCTAGGCCACAAAGTCCTTCCTAATAACCTAATAAATCAAGAAGTATTTTTATTGAATGTCTACTATGTGCTCACTTCTAAAAGTAACATTCTCATATATTATTTTTATTGGCCATTTAGAAGACTGCATCAAACTCCAAATCCCTGTTTCCAGCTTCCCTAATACGCAGTTCTTATCTTGAGACAAGCTGAAAGTAGTCAAAGTCATGATAAGATGTGCTGCCAACAAAAAAACAGTAAAAATGTTCTTCCTTTGAAAAGTTATCAAAATCTGTATTTTACTATTATTACATTATTGGAACCAGTAACATGAAAAACCAGAAGTGCAACACTGTGAGAAAAAGAAAGAGAAAGTTTGCTATTTTAGAATTGCTTTGTCCAAAGAAATTCAATTTTCATTTTAAAAATGTTGAAGAGTTTCTGTGTATTTTTCCTATTTGAATTCAGATATATTCTGATTTTCTCTTTTATTCTTCCCCAGGTACAAGGTAAAAATAGAACTGGTTATCATTATCAAAAAGTATCCTTTTATTTTTCTGGCAAAATAGGGACAACTGACACCAAACAAATGACCTTCACATGACAATGTCAGTTACAATCCCAAACACCACACTTGGAATGAATTGGTATTACCTGACTAAACGTTAGGGATCTGTGGAGCAGAGATGTCAGATAATCATCTTGTATTGTAAAAATAGTTGTTTGGAGAGTGATTGGGTTGGTGGGTGTTTTGTTGGGATCTCACCAAATCCAAGATAGTAAAGCATGACAATTTCATCCACCAAAGCCTGCCAGATGGCTACTTGCACAGATGTCTATCTGTCTGGTGGGGAGGGGCAATGGCTATCATATTTATTCAATATTTTATGATCAGACAACCTGTGAAAGCCCATTGGGTTCATCCTTTGGGCTCATTACTATTGCATTACTAGTTTTCAAACCAATGTAGCAGCTGCTGTACTCATTTATCATCTTTCTATCCATATTTCACTCTGCTCTTTACAAAAGAGGAAATTTTACTTACTACCTAAGGACATGGTTCTTGATTATTTTTTATTTTCTTACATACAACATAAAAATAACTATTACTTATTAAAATGCTTTACTTATTAGGCCAATTTTTGTATTTTGAATCACTTGATGCTACTTTTTACACTTTTTAATTAACAATTCTATTGTGTCTGTTTCTTTTTGTTAACCTCTCCTAAAGCAGACCTTGGTCATCTCCAACTATACATACTCAAGGGAGAGTAAGAAGAGTAAGTATACATTTGTTTTCAAAGGGGTTGCCATTGGGAATATTTGGAAGTAGAAAACTGAGAAGGGAGAGAGGGAAATGGGGTAAGTGGCTGTTACTGAGGCTCTTTGAACCACCCTTCCTTGCTCATGCAGCTTTCTTCATAAGGGCCCAGTTACCCCAGTACAGCAGAAGGCAATGGCATTGCTGATCCAGGGGTGGGGATTGCTTTGTTTATCAGGCAAAAGCAGAATTACTGGGGAGTGTTTTCTTAAAGTGACCAGTCTTCAGGGGCCACCTGTGTAGAGACAGCAGTATATAGAGAGGAAATGGATGGGGATAAAGCACAAAGGTCATGATCCCTCCTGCCTGAAGCACATGCTCAGTGTTAGGAATGACAGGCTCATGGCCGGGGGGGAAATCCTGGCCTGTACTCTATGAGAGGCAGCTATTCCTGGGCCTGACCAGTTTTCCTGCAGGCAATTGAGGTGGAGTGGAGGGAAACAGTTGTTTGAGAATGGTGTATACAGGAGCACATAATGCCCAACTGAACAATGAGGTTGGTTTGGTTTCACAGGGAGAAAAAGCAGCTCTTTGTAAAATGTATCTAATCATGTATCACATGAAAGATCTGACTTATTCCAGAATCATGGCCCTACTGGGCAACTTAATAATCCAAACACTTGAGAATTTGGAGGTGCAGCTGAAATATAAGCAATTGTCTCCCGTGCTGTGCAGAAGTCCTTAAGTAAATCTCACTGACTGCCTTCTCCCTCACAGCCAAGACTACAAAATTCTGCACCATCCTTTTCAGTAAAATTTGGATGATTCCTAACTCTAAATCCAGTAAGTCCTTACCTTACATTCACCATTTGACAGAGTTGGCCACTCTCTCCTTCATAACACCTCCTTCACTGGTTTCCAGAAAACCTCATTGTCTTGGATTTTTTCCTGCATTTACTGTCATCCTTCTAGGTATCTTCAGCTGGTACTTTTAATGTTGGAAGGCTCCAGGCTAATCGTTGACCCTCTAACTTTTTCTATTTACAGTAACATGATAGATGATCTGATCCAGTCAAATGACTTCACCAACTATATACCAAGAAGTCTCAAGTATCCCTAGATCATACCTCTCTTCCAAACTCCAGATATAACCCAAATGTCACATGTCTAATATCTCTCTTACATTCAACATGTCCTGATCTTCTTCCCTCAAATCTGATAAATTCATGTCTTTCTATTTCATTTGATGGGATTTCCAAACTTCCAATTCTTTGGGCCAAAAATAAATGCAGTCATTTTTGAATATACATTTTTTAAATCACAACCCACACCCAAACTCTTGGAGAATCATGCTGAATCTACTTTAAAATATATCCAGAATCCAACTCTTCTCCTCCCACTGTGAATAGCATGGTCTGTACCACCCTGGTCTCTCTCCTGGATTACTGCAGTTGATTCCCTGCATCTGCATTGCCCCCTACAATCTATTCTCCAAACACTTGCCAGAAAGGTCCTTCTTAATGTAAGTCATATCAAGCATTTTGTCTTCTCAAAACCCTGCAGTGGTTCCAATTTCCCTCAGAGCAAGAGCCAGATTCTTTACAATGGTCTACTGTGGTCCCATGTGATCTCATTCTCCATCCCCTAATTATTTTCGAATCTCATCTACTAGCCCCTTGCTCTCTCTGCTTCAGCCAAGGTGACCTTCTTGCTCTTCCTTAAACTGTGGGCATGCTCCCACCTCAGGATCTTGGCAGTCTGTGTCCTCTACATGGGATACTCTTTCCCAAGGTAACTTCATAACTAATTGCCTTTCTATCAAATATTTGCTAAAATGTCACTTTCCCTAAAAATGTACACTGCCAATTATTTAGCAACCATATCATCCTGTAGCACTCTCTTATCTCTTTCTACTTTATCTTTTTGCATATCAATCATCCTTCACTTTCTAACATACCATGCAATTTATTTATTATGTCTATGGTTTATTATTTGTCTTCACAAGCTGGGCTGTAAAGTCCATGAGGACAAGAATTTTGGTCCGTTTTGGTCTGTTCTGTTTTGCTGGTTTTATCCCAAGTGTCAAGAATGGTGTCTGGCACATTGTTCATGTTCAAATGTTAAAAATATAAAGATAAAAGTAACCCCGATATTGTCTGAGGAGGATAGAGAAATCCATAGCAGAACCTGGCACCAGAAAGCAGCTGATGGAGCACTTCTTGCCTCTTGAGAGTAGAGACAAGGGCCTCTTACTTACAAATTTCCAGCATTGTACACCATAGCCTGATTTAAAAACAAATGGTCAGTAAAGGATTATGGAATAAAGCTTAGTTCCATTGATGAAAGAAAGCTACTGATGCCCTTAAGAAAGGCCTAATTTAAAAAAAAAGCATTTATTAGAACATTATCTTGTCAACCTCATGTCACAAAGAATGAACAGAAAGCATATGGTTGGCCAAAACTAATCCTGTCTCCCACTGAATCTGAGCTTAGCTTACTTTTGATAGCCTAGTCTGGATGCACTTTTATAATAGCTTGTAAGGTTTCATAGCTCGAAACCTAAACCAGCAAATGACTACATAATTGAACAATTCCCTTTATATGACATTTTGGACAAGGCAACACTATAGGAACAGAGAAAAGACCAATGATTGCCAGGAGTTAGGGATAGGGGAAGAGTCTAACAACAAAGGATAGACACAAGGAAATTCTTTGGGATATTAGAATTGTTCTATTTCCTGTTTGCAGTGGTAGTTACAAGAATCTATGCACATGTTAAATAAAATGCATGCAACTGTACACCAGAAAAAGTGAATACTACTATATGTAGTATACTAAATACAAATTTTTAAAAATGACATTCCCCATTTAGAAGATACTGCTGATGCCCTGCTAAAATCTAAGCTGTAAGACTACATGCTCATAAATTTGAAAGAAAGTGAAAGCTTAATGGTCCCTGGGCTCCTTATGATGTTTGCATTGAACATCTTTAGACAACCAGGGAGGGCTCCTCTGGGTCCAGCTATTTACATTTGTCCATTCATGCACTATTTGGCAGTGAAAAGTTTTGTATACATGTTTGCTCTAAGGTGTCATTTATTAAACCCACCCTGCCCTGTCACCTCTGTGTTTGTGCTGTCAGCTAACAAACAAGGGAGAGTACACAAAACTTATACCTATGGGTCGCTGTTTTCACAACAGGCCTGCTGTTTGCAATAACTGCATGAGACTAGATCTGCTTTCTCTTCATAAGACTTGCCTACTCAGGTATTTTATGAGTTGTTCTTTTACAGGAGGATCTTTTCTTAGAGTAGCATTCAGCCCTTTGATTATTGGCTTAAAGCATGAGCTTCCTTCTGTTTTGATTATTGATTATTGGCATTCAGTCCTTTCATTATTGGTTTGAAGCATAAGCTTCCTTCTTTTACTATCCCCACTTTACCCCACCTGACATTTTTGTTCTACTCTAATTCCCAGTTCATACAATGTATTATTTATTTAGAAATAAATTCCATTTTGGAAATTTTAAAGTTATAAAATTAACGACTTTGATAACACTTATCTTTAACATGTATCTTATAATTTACCAAACACTTTTATCTGTGTGACATCTTTTAATTCTCACATTAATTAATTAAGTAGACATGTGGGTAGTATTTTCATTTTTAAAATAAAGACTCAGGAATCCAAAGTGGTTAAGAAACTTTCTCAAGGTCATATGACCCATCAGAAAGGCAGGGCAAAGACTAGATTCCCATTAAATGTAAGGGGTCAGTAATCCTCACTTCTTTTATGAAAAATTAATTTTCACACCATTTTATGTGGCTGTGAAACCTATCAGCATATAATTGTATTTTTCTTTGCTTTGTCCTTTAAAAATCAATGAATGCTGCTGGGCGCAGTGGCTCATGCCTGTAATCCCAGCACTTTGGGAGGCTGTGGTGGGCGGATCACGAGGTCAGGAGATCGAGATCATCCTGGCCAACATGGTGAAACCCTGTCTCTAATAAAATACAAAAAATTAGCTGGGCATGGTGGTGTGCGCCTGTAGTCCCAGCTACTCGGGAGGCTGAGGCAAGGGAATCGCTTGAACCAGGGAGGCGGAGGTTGCAGTGAACTGAGACTGGGACACTGCACTCCAGCCTGGCAACAGAGCAAGACTCTGTCTCAAAAAAAAAAAAAAAAAAAAAAAAAAGGATGCTAATACCGTATGATATTCCATGTGCACTTTAGCTTACAATACCATGCTTGCATTTTTATTTCCATTACCAAGGGAGTCTCTCATAAGCGCAGCCTAAGCACGTCCCAGTCATCTACATCTCACCTATTTTCTAGGTTGCTTTGTGGATTTTTCACGGATTATATAATTTTAAGCCTACATGACATACAAACTGTAGTTAGGTCCAGTTTTTAGGCACCTGTGTTTTGTTTTTGGCACATATCTTTGAAACTCTCCAAAGTCTTTGGTTGAGAAGCTTAATAGTCAACCAAGTTCTCATTGAAGCAGTTTTATCAGTAGCAGTGTGGCTCTTTTTGGGAAGTGCAGAGACTGTGTTAAGGCCTTGGCTTTCCCACCAGCCCCTGCAGCACCTGCTGTGCAGAGTAGGTAATCCTGTCAGAGGCATAATCTCCCAACAGGTGAGGCCATGGTGTTATAGTTCATGCTCATGCTTCACACTCAAGCCACAAATATCTCTTGCCATTTCCCAATTATACTGCAGAGTTTAGCCTTTACTTAGGCTGTTTTCTCTGCCTGGATTGCCTTTTCCTGCTGTGGTTCTGGGGACTGGCCAGATACCCCTGTCTACCTTTATGAGAGCCCCTCGGGTTGGGAATGATTACAGTAGGTGCTGGGGATAATCGAAGACACTGGAGCAGCCAGGCATGTCCAGCAGAAATTTCTCATCTGACCCTGTGACTGCTGGCCTTCCCTACCCTTCTTACCTCCCTCTCTTTAGGGCTTTGAGTTTGCTTCCATGACAGCCATTGCTGGCTCCTGGTTTTGCACTAAACCAAGTGCCTTCTAATTTTGTCTTTTGACTGCTATTCACATACCAACATTCCACAGATGCCAAGTTTCATCCTTCAAAGTTTGGTTTAAATATCACCACCCTTACCTTCTCATATCTACAGCTTTCCCCTCTGTGTGCCCCTTGGGGGCAGAATCAGCTGTTCTTTAGCCTGAGCTCCCAGGACTTTCTGTATATCATCCCTCATGGCACTTCCTGCATTTATTCCCCAGTTCATCATATCTTGTAGTCCTGCTAGATGGTAAGACTCCAAGGGGAGTGGCTGTGTTATATTTATCCATGTTCTCATCAGATATCCGGGATAGAACCTGGTGCTTCATAAATTCTCAATAAATGTTTCTTGCTTCAATAAATAAATAAGTACTATTTTACTCCTTCTTATGAGGATTTGTGCATATTGATATGATGAAGAAAAAAGCTCCAATGAAGTAAATATGGTGACTCTAAAAACAGGATGAATAAAGGACCTTTGTTTCAGAAAATCCCCTATCAGAATTCATTCATGATCTTTGATTAGGTATTTGAGTCCTTCTAGTCTACACAGTAATTTTTCCTCTGAAACAATCTATTTGAAGAGGCAAGAGTTCCTGTCCTCTCATTGATAGAACTTACCTGAGTCTGTCTTCACTGATTTTCCAGTCTGTGTGCATTTGTACATGTGTGTGTGCACCCAGGCTGATTTTGTGCCAAGCTCATTACTTGAAAGATACATATCACCAAAGAATTTCAATTATTATCTTGAAATACATCAGAAAAGGGCACTTTCTCCTTAGTCTCTTCTGTGTCTCCATATTTGCATATATGTAAATCCTAGTAAATTCTGTGGGGTCTCTCTCCTGAACTTAGATTCTCTTAGGTTTATTTTAAAAACAAAAACCCCACATTGCTAGACAGCGAAACATGATGAATACAAGTGATATTCAATTACAGGAAAGCTATCTCTCCATGCTGAAACAAGTCACTTTCTCTCTCTTAAAACTCATTCTACAAATTTGTGTTAAGGTGTTTTATCTTAAATTTGATCTAACCAAATTCAAGTAATGGGAGTGTAGTGAAATTATGGGAATGGAACACATAAAACTAGGTTGGTTGTTCGGATTTATTTTCCTTTGGATATTCAATTTAGTTTAAAAGAATTGAATTCATTTGCCATGTTCTCTTTGGGAAGCATTGTGAGAAGTATAATTTAGAACTGCTCTCTCTTTTGCATGGCCTCTGCAAGGCATAAAAGGGGCTCACAGTGCATGTTTCTGCTATAATGAAAGCTCTGTTCTATCTGTCTGCCTCCATGTGAATTGCTCCTTCAGACAGAAAGTGAAAACAAGAATGAGTCAAAAACCTCCCAGGGCCTAAACTACTCTAAGAGAGTAAATTAGGCATCTTTGGATGCTTAACTCTTTCAGACCCTGGCACACATTTTTAAAAGTTGTTAATGGTTCAAGAAATTTGATTCCACTGTCAGAAATGTCTAATTAGTTAATTAGGAGTAGTTAAGCTCAGGATGTTCTCATGACTATTTTCTTCCATACTAAAATGGGTAATTTAGACGCTAACAACAAAATCAAAGTTTTTTCAGGTTTCTCTGTCTACCACCCTCACTAAAGAGGTAGAAATAGGGACTTGCTAAATAACACACTACCATCCTCCAAAATAAAACAAAAATCCCCATCAAAGCCCGAGCACAACCTATCATTCTGAGGAAATATATGGTCTCATTACAGAAAGAAGACAGATAGGCATGGCCAAAATGGGCACATGTTATACTAGACTATGTTTGATATTTTCCTTGCCTAAAATAGTATATTCAAGGTGTAGCATAGGATTGAACGATAACAACTTAACCCTAAGAAGAATTTTTCTTTTTTCTTTTTTTTTTTATTATACTTTAAGTTTTAGGGTACATGTGCACATTGTGCAGGTTAGTTACATATGTATACATGTGCCATGCTGGTGCACTGCACCCACTAACTCGTCATCTAGCATTAGGTATTGGTGGGACTGTAAACTAGTTCAACCATTGTGGAAGACAGTGTGGTGATACCTCAGGGATCTAGAACTAGAAATACCATTTGACCCAGCCATCCCATTACTGGGTATATACCCAAATGACTATAAATCATGCTGCTATAAAGAATTTTTCTTATGAACAGAATCAGCCTTCATTAAAGATTTTTGAATTAAACTACTTCTAATTTCTAAAATAAAGCAGTGAAAAAAATGATTTTATAATGACTTTAGTAAAAACAATAGTATCCTAACTCACTAGAGTTTATAACCCCATAAGGAAATTTCAATTTAAATTGTCCAGGTCAAATTTAGCCTCGCCAGGAACAAAATAGTAACGTAGAAAATGGCAGAGACTTGGTAACCACAGGGAGGGGGTTTTGATGGGGTGGGGTGAAGGGGTAAAGAGAGGAGGGGCCAGGAGGAATCAATATTATTAAGGGAAGAAACTCTTTCTCCAAGAAATAGAATATAATTTTGAATCCAGGATAAATACATAGTACCAGAACCACAATAGATGCTTATCAAGTTTCTATTTCATGCATCTGAGGAAATCAATTTTCAGATTTCTGAGTACATAGCTATCTGATCTTATATGATGTCACCTTGTGCACCAAATATTTAGATAAATGTCCTCATCCCTGGCTGTTTTGATCTAGTAATTTCCTTGTTTTTGCTCTGACACAGTAACAGCGTTGGGGGGTTCAATGCAAGAGAGATGCTGCATTGGGATGAGTGTCATTGGTTTCTGCCCTCTGACAGACTTTCAGGGAGTACATTGTTAGGTCCCTTTTATCATTTTGGAAGTTTTGCTCATTTCTTTAAACTCTTTTTTGGTATATTTGGTGGTGTAGGGGGAGGGAGGTTTGTATGTGTGTGTGCATGTGTGCCTGTGTATGTAAAAAAGCATCTAGCTGTCCTATCCAGCCTGAATTGTTGTAATGTCTGCAAGGTATGACAACTCCAGAGGGCTGTTGATGTGACTCAAAGTCTCTCTTTACCTATAAGCTGAGTACAGCAGTGGCAAACCTTCTAGCTGCCCTGGAAAATGCTTCGTCAATAAATACAGCCAAAAGTTTAGAATATCTATGGGAGGCAATGGATTCAGACTTGTCAATATGTGTACATTTAGCATCTTAACAGGTTGGAAAAGGCAAGAAATCTTTCCAAAATAATCATTGCTTTCTGCGGTTCTTTTCTTTTAATACTGCCATGAAGAATCAAAATACAGTGTTATTTGCCTTTTTCTATCTAACACAGATCTAGTCCTCGATGTGAAACAAATGCTATGTTTCTTTCTTATAAGTAGCTATTGTACTTACCATGCATAAAGTTTAAAAAAATGCTAACCCTCCTAGTTCTCTTAGTGTAGTTTCTCTCCTTTTCCTGCCAGTCAGATTTGGAAATAAGAGTTACTCAGGCATCATCAGTCCTTCTTCGATGTAATTTTAAATCTCCATCCAGCCATTTTCACCCATACTCTTTCCTCAGGAGAATAATCACTCTACATTCTTCAAAATTCCAATAAGAAGAATGTTATAGAAATCCAGTTTATAAAATTTAGAGCATGAAATGAAGCTTTCTTCTTTCCCAAAATAACCATTGAGAAACTTCAGACACATTTTTCTAAAAGAATATGTACTGCCTCTCTTTATAATATTCAGGGGGAAATTCCTATGAATTAATGCAGTGATAAATATTACAGATATAGCTTCTAGATATATAGTATCATGATGTGTCTAATTAGGATGCAGTAAGATTCTCAAACACAAAATTGTTCTTTTATATTAAGAGCCAGAATTAGAAGATTACACTAAGTCTAGCACAAGCCATTTCCATTGTGCATTTTCAGTAAAAGCTGACTAAATTTATTTCTTAGAATGTAGTGAAATTATGGAGTGAATCTAGCTGAAATAACAGATTTGTTTTTAGTCTTATAAGTCAGTGAGTAACAATTTTTCATTCAATTTTGTTGTTATTGTTTAGAACTTCATGGGAAATGAAAACAAAAATTTAAAATAACTCTAGTGGTAACAGTTCGTTTTCATGAAATGCAATTTGCACTTCACTAGGAAATGAAACAATTTGTAACTTTGAATTCACTGTTAAACTAGTAAAATTTATCCTAAATTAAATAAATGAAGTAGCTAACAAAGAATTATTGAATCCTAATTTGTTTACAATAGGATAGAAGGCGGCGTTTAATGGAACTGATGTTGCATTTCAACTGGACCAAAACTTTGGATTTTCCATTCTAGTTTACCAGATAGAAGATAAATATTAATAAATACATCTTGGTTGAAAAATTTATTCTTATTACTACTACAAGGGCTACCTTGGCAAAGTAAATTTTAAAATACCTGTACTTAAGCTCTTTTTAAAAATTGTATTTTCTTTAGTATCACACAGGACGAATGAAACAAACAATATATTAGACCTAAAGAGTCATGTATTTTTAGCCCCGATTTTTATTTATTTATTTACTTTTGTATACGACAGACAAGTAAGTTTTGTAGACTTGAACAGATTCCTCAAGAACGAGCAGGTTGTTTTTTTCATGCCTTGTGGTATAACTTAAAATCTCTCAGTTATTCTAATTCTACCTCATTTCTCTCCTTGATTCAGTAAGAACTAAGTACAAGTAGAAAACCAAAACTTTTTCAATGAAAACTTTCAGGGTTTAGACTCTGCCTGTCACCTGGTAATTTTCTATTGTACTAGAGAGTCAGCCAGGGTGTTTGTAAACTCTTTTTTTTTAATTTTATTATTATTATACTTTAAGTTTTAGGGTACATGTGCACAACGTGCAGGTTTGTTACATATGTATACATGTGCCATGTTGGTGTGCTGCACCCATTAACTCATCATTTAGCATTAGGTATATCTCCTAATGCTATCCCTCCCCTCCTTTGTGCTTGATCCACCATGCTTGCTCAAATGTACAGGGGCAACTAGCTGGTTTTATAACTAAGCCCTAACAACTGGACTGGAAGTATTGGCTTGGAATGCCTAGCCACATTTAAAAGTTACTCTTAGCATGAAAAAGGGTTGAACAGGTGGTCTTCCTCCCCTTAACCGTTTATTCTATCCTGTTCAAATTTGCTGTCCCCCAAACGCATCATCTACCACCTTCACAATTTTCATGAAAGCTGTGTACCACCTGAATTATTGTTTACTCACCATGTTTCTTTAAATTGACTACTTTTTAAAAACTTAAATATCCAAGTTATTTTGATCCCAAGCAATATCTCTGAAATCATGGTTTTAGAGGGCTAATTTTTCCCAATACATGTTAAAGTAAAAAAAAAAAAGCTATTAAAATATTCATCTCCTAACAAAATTATAGCAATAGGAAAATCATTTGTGGTTCCAGGTTTTTGGGAGGGAGAAAAGGGGAGATGTGACTATAACTACAAAGAGTAGCATGAGAGAGCCTTGTGATGGAATGGTTCTGTATCTTTCTTTATTGTGGTGCTTACACAAGTCTACATAATAAAATTCCATCACGCACACACACACAGAGTTTGGAAAATTGGTGAAATCCGATTAAAGTTGCTGGATTATACTGCTGTCAGTTTCCTGGTTTGATTTTGTGATATAGTTATGCAAGATGTTACCATTGAAGGAAATTAGGTAACGGATACGCAAGATTTCTCTATCACTTATTTATTACAGCTGCATGTGAATCTACAATTATGTCAAAATAAGAAGTTAAAAGAAGAGAAGAACCTACCTACGTAAGAGGATTACAGGCAGTGAAAATCGCATATGCAGAGGGCCTGGGGCAAGAGAACACTTGGTATATTTAAGGAGCTGAATGAAACCTATGAGCATGATGGGAAATAGAGCAGATAATGAGCTGTAAGAACCTGGGACTCCTGGGTATGCCCCAAAACATATTAGAGGTGTGATCATCGTGATGCCTGCTACAGCTCCACGCCCCAGTGCTGAAGCACAAGGTCCCATAATGACCCCATAAGCAGCGGGGCTGCCGAAACCCAGATGAAGCAGGGTTTGGCCAACTACAAAAAAACACCTTTTATTCTTCCATGTGTTTTTCTACAGTAAGAATTTTAAAAATGCATAAATATACCAGTACATTAAAAAAATTATCATCTCAGTAGCACCTCAAATTGCCCAATATACTGGTGGTGATCTGCATTTTCCACATTGGTAGGGATAATGAATGAGTTCTTGCCTTACTCTGCCCTAGACAAGCTGTGTGACCTGTCACCTCTCCCTTCATATCTGAGGTCTCAGTTTCCTACTTTGTTATAGCAAGAGGTTTGACAAACTAAGGTTCCTTCAGCTCCTATGGTCTATGATTTATCTACCCGTCTTGCTGTGCACTCACTGTACCATAAACTAGGACTAACCCAATGAGAAATATTAAAACACAATCGATGCAAGAACTTATCTTGCAATTTGATCTTGTACTTACTAATGTATGCCATGGAATGCATTGATTCCTACAGAAGCAGCACTAAAATAAAAATTTTAAAATAAGATAAAAATTTTAAATAGAAATATTAAAATAAAAAGACTGGTAGCACTAAAAAGTCCTGCAGTTACTATGTGGTAACTGTGCTATTAAGGACACACAATGTTGACCATTTTCCCCTAACTCATTGAAAACACAGAAACATAAGTAATTATGTGTTGGATTATTGCAAGAATAAGTGGGAGGTATTGGAAAATGACTGGAGTTGACTTTGAGAGATCTGAGTCTGATTCCACCCCCAAGAATTTGAGTAAGTCACTTCACCTCTCTGAACACCGACTTCCTCATCTGCAAAACAGGCATATTCATACCTGCACAGCTGATATACTGGGACACTGCAATATTGCCTGGGAAACCACAGGCAAATTGAAAGCATAATCATCACAAATTTGTATATCCTCAGCTCTACAGAACTGTAAGAGCATGAAGGTATCAGGAACTGTTCAAGGCAAAAATTCATACATTAGTTCCTCCATTGGTTGTCTGAGAATCTTGGGTCTCTAAAGAGCTGACATGATGCTTTTCTTACCCAGAGAATGAATTTCAAAATACTGTGCAGATATATTTTTTAAATTTTTATATATTTATATTAGGTAATTCCTCTTAATCTCTATTGAGAGTAGCACAGTTTACAGATTTTGGTTTTTTTTAAATGAAAAAATCTTAGAAGTATTCATCAATTTTTTCCCAACAGATTCCAGCTTAAAATCATCAGGATGAATAAGTCAAAAGATGCAATGTACTACATGAGGGCTATAGTTAATAATAGTGCATTGTATTCAGGATTTTGCTAAATGGGTAGATTATTGCTGCTCTTGCCACCAGGGGAAAAAATGAGTAACTATGTGAGATGATGGATACCTTAATTTGTTCCTCTATAGTAACCATTTTGCTATATATTTGTATCTTATAGCATCATTTTGTATACCTTAAATATACACAATAAAATTTATTTTAAAAAAGCATCAGGTAGTCTTACCATCCCTTTTCAAAAATAAATATTAAAAATATCAAGTTCATTGAAAGGAAAAGACCAGTTTACTCCAATTCCTATTTTATCATCATCATCTCTAATTAAAACAGAGGAAAAAAATTGAAATATTTTCTGGTGATTTTCAGCCTGTCAAGTTTAATAGCCTCGATTTCAAATTTTAGCATATTTACAACACAAACCCTTTTTTACTATACAATCTCTTATTTTTTGCATAAAAATTTTCACCAAAATGTTCAAAAATTCATTTAAATAACCAAGAATTAAGCCTATGCCATATGAGATATTGTACAGTGATGGAATGAATGTGGGCTTTGAGGTCAAAAGGAGCCGGGTTTTTAACCTCAACTTTCCCACTTTCTTGTTTCTCTGAGTTTCAGTTTTCTAACTGCAGAGTTATTGTGAAACTAAAATCAGATGATATTAAATACAATAATATGTGTAAAAAATGCAGGAGCTAAGCACAGAGTGCTTAATAAATATCAGCTATTGAGCCACCATGAAATGTACCCAGCATTCCTGTGGATTTTCAGCAATCTGAAAACCTCCTTACACCTTGAGAGCTAAGCACTATTTTATAGAATTATTTACACAATGACAGATATAGAACAAGTGCTCACCAAATACTGACCCACCTCACAGAGTTGAAGAGGTAAGGTGGCTAAAATGTTTTGATAGAGCTTAAAAGTTTAAGCTTCCAACACCACTGTTTAGCTATGGAAGGATTCATTTTCTAGAAAGTTCAAACTGGAAGGAATTTTGACTATCATCTTTAAGCTTCATCTTCTATTTAAACATAAGGAACATGAGGTTCAGAGATGCAAACCCCGACCCGAAGACCCTAGAGGTGATGAACCGAGATACCATCCAGGTGCTCTGACTTCCAGGTTGTCACTTTCTCTATCATGTCACACATAAGAACTGTATTTGATAGAAGCTATTTAGTAAAGTTTGGGCAGATTAGTAACCACAATGATAATAAAAATAAGAACAGATTGTAGTAGGGACACCTTATATTTTCTGAACCTTTACCCATGTTAGGCAGTGGGGTGAGTTTTTGACATACATTTTCTCCCTGAATTCAGAGAATAATGATTGGCATCATTGCTACCACTCTTCTAAGATGTGTAAATGGATTAAAAAGGTTTTAAGAAAATTGCACACAGAATTAATAAGAGGCAGAGCCAAATTCAAATCCTGTTCTAACTCCACTGTGGAACTCTAAGATACTTTTTAATGTATAAAGAGTTAGCTTATTAAATAAAGTAGCATATAAAGTACCTCTCTAGTATCTATCCTCACATACATGTGAAACTATGAACATCGCTTGCACGACATGGGTGAAAATAAAGGTGCTGTCTCATATCACTGGTAAAAAAATCAATGAGCTTCTGGAAATTTGGTTAGCATACCAATCATCACCAATCTTGAAAATTGTAGCTCTGAGGATGAATGTTATCTTTGCACTAAAAAAGATGGCATTCATTTAAATAAAATAGAAGATTCTTGCTCTATAATATCCCAATTCTATGACAGTCACCTGTCATTAACTCAGCACATAGCTCTTTCATTCAAGATGAATAATGTTCTGGAAAACTCAGCCAGACTACTTAAACATTCATACCTATGTTGAGTAGAAATTCATTTTTTCAACCACTGAATACTCATTCCTTATGGACAGAAATAGTAAGATATGAGTAAAATATGTATTGAAGAAAAGAAAGAACTATTTCCCCAGGACAGTTCAAAATAGGTGGAAAGCACTATAGTAATTTCCTTGCAATTGCATAGCTCCTTTGCTTATTAAATTTTGAAGAGGTTATCAATTTGGAAAATAACCTAAAGAGTTTATGTTTCATAATTTTACTTTATTGCTGAAATATTTATGCAAATATTCAGTGTAGGAAGATGCTGCCAGATGGAAATGCAATGGTTGTGGAATTCTTCCTGGCATTTCTGACGGAATATATAATATCGAATCACTTTATGCTAATGTTTTGCAATGGAATACATATTTTATAGCTACTTTGAAATGCAAATTTAAAAGATCTAAACAGTTTAGAAATCATGCCAATGCAAAGTAAACTAATATAAAAAGTACGAGTTAGATAGATAAATTACAGCCATGTCATATCAACTGCATTTTGGTAAAGTAATGAGCCATGTCTTTATACTCTTTGTGTAAATATGGTTTAATATTTAGAAGTAAAACTGCGTTTGGTAAGATTAACATTAACTAACCTCAAAATTTATATGACATCTATCAAATATCTGACTTCTAAAGATACTTAACTTTCTTACTACACTTCCTCACCCTAATTTCCATCATTGATAAATTCTCTGATGGCAGGTATGTGGTATCTTTGCTACATTCAATACTGAATGAAAAATACAAGGTGTCTGTCACCAATAAGTTTGAGTTACAAGAGGATTAAAGTTTTTATTATTATTAAAGAACATTGAGTCTAAAATTTGTTAAGTTTTTACAACTTGTCAAATCAATTTCATTTCACTACATTACAAAAACTTCTAAAAATGAATACTGTATGCTGAGCCTGTCATTTCTTAAACTTGTGGTCAGAAACTCAGTGTTTAAACAGTGAAATATTCTTAAAAGACACCATAAAGCACAATCTTCTCACTGAATCCATTGAATAATTTCCTCTTTTCAAATTGGGATATATTTCATACCAGGATTGTGAATAAAATGACATCTTTTTTTGAAAGGCATGATTGTTCTTGACAATGCCTTCTCTCCTTTGTAGGGCTATTTTAACACCAGTCATAACTCAGGAATTGAATCTGGACAAAAAAAGGAAATTGTGAGCTTCTTGTGAATGATTAAAAATTATAGACCCCAAAGCTTGGTTAAAAATAATTACGTTGGCTCATTAGAGGTCCAAAAAACCTGGAGTATTTTCTCTTTTGCCTCATTTCTCCTGAGTTTCAGAAGAGATATTTTAAGACATCAATGCCACTATCTTTTATTCAGACCATAGAATGTTCAAATCCAGTAGAACTAAAAAAAAGTTTCTGAAGTCACTATTAATAAAGTATTTCACATTCTGACCATTACAAAATATTTTCGTAGCCCTTATTCCACTCATTCCTTACAACTAGTGTGGTAGACAGGTATTATCGTTTCTTTCCACAATTGGACAAATTAACTCACAGAGGTTAAGTAGTTCACCCAAGTCACACATCCACGGAATACTAGTTTGTTTTTTTCTCTGAAATGTAAGACTTCGATAATTAAGGTTGGGTTTAAATACATGCTGAGATTATGATCTGGAATACTTCAGTGTCAGTTTCACTCTGCTGAACAAGGAGAAAGTCTTCTGAACAACTGCTACCCTTTGGTGCACCTTGTTTTCTCCTACTGTGGTCATAAATGTAGAACCATATGTACTGGTGTACTTCCTACAGTACTATGGTATGGTACAATGTGCACGTACTATCGTCTATAGATGTGGAACATATGAAGCATATATATTTGTGGAGGACAGAGTTGGTGAGAAATTCAGGTCTGGTCATGAAGCCAGTGAGATGTGAAGCTGCGGAAAAAAAATAAGGGAGGCACAGTGTAATTCCTCCACTCGGATTCATTGGAAGTCATGACTGCCACTATGAGTGGATCCTTGTCTGGCAGTATTTCTTGGCCCTGACACCTGGCACTCAAATGTCATCTTGCATTTGCAAACCTGAAACTGATATCCCCCAGATTTTATTTATTAATGAGGAAACACTAGTCTATTTCCTTTTTGAGAGTGCACACATTAACGTTTTACAAAAAAGTCTTGTTTATGCCATTAGAATTCCCAGGTGAATATCTGTAAGACACACCCACAAATGCCACTGACCACACCCACACACACGTATTTCCCTCACCCAAAGGGGGTGCTGTGGGTGATTATTTTTCATAACAAAATTATTATTCTCTACGATGCACTAAGTCAGGCTAATCCAAAATGAATCATGCGGCTCCCAACACATTTGAGGTAAATTAGGAATCACCATCTGGCAGAAAGCTTCTCTTCTTAAAACTGCTCTCTTTTTTTAATTAAAATGTGTTTTAATTAAAAATAGGCATGTCAAGAAGCACTGTATATCAATTATATGACTGACAATATGCTTTCATTTTTTTCCTAAACCATATGAACCAGAAATGGGATGTCATGATTTCTCTCAAGAGAAACAGTAAAATATAGGACAGAGAAAGGGAGGAGTGCTACTGGGAGCAGTTTCGGCTGTAGCAAAATCCTTCCAAATCTTTCATTGAATGTTGTATTGCTTTTTTTTTTTTTTTTTAAGAAAAAAAAAACCTGAAAGGGTGCTTATTCCTCATTGTTTCTGATGCAACTAATGGGGTTTTTCTTTTTTTCTTTTTTCTTTTTTTTTTTCTGAGACAGAGTCTCATTCTCTTGCCCAGGCTGGAGTGCAGTGGCACCATCTTGACACAACCTCCTCTCCCAGGTTCACGCAATTTTCCTGCCTCAGCCTCCCAAGTAGCTGGGACTACAGGTGCATGCCACCATGCCCAGCTAATTTTTGTATTTTTAGTAGAGACAGGGTTTCCTTCTGTTGGCCAGGCTGGTCTCGAACTCCTGACCTCAAATGATCTGCCCCCTTCAGCCTCCCAAAGTGCTGGGATTACAGGCATGAGTGAAAGCGCCCAGCCAACTAATGGAGTTTTTCATTCATTCCATACTATTAATGGTTTTGGAGAAGTTGTCAAATGTTCTTAGCCAGCTTTCTCTTAGTGGCCCTGGGATGTTCCAAGACACATCCTCAGGCCCAGGCCCTCCTCTTAGCCCTTTCCTGTCTGCACTCCTGTCTGAGAAGCACAAAGTAATACATACAGATTTCTTTTGCCAGAAGTGCCATCAGGGAGAATAAAATAGGTGAGGGTGAGATATAAGGACTCAGAAGCAGTAGGAGAGAACAGAAACCACAGTGAGGATCGGTGGTACCTCACAAATGAGCATGAGGGTGTGAGTGAATGAGTGAGTGAGAGAGAGAGAGAGAGAGAGAGAGAAAGAGAGACACTGCTGTAAAAAAAAACTGAGCTTCTCTTCCATTAAGACTAACATTTGAACCTTCCTGGCTCTGCCTTGGGGAGTCCTAGGGCAATTCCTTCAGGATGCCCAGCTCTAAATGTTTAAAGGTCAAATATTAATGATCACAGTGAGACTAAGATAACAATAGTCATATCGTTTTTAGCGTTGATTGGTTTCCCGAAGTGCCACAATATTTAGTATCAATGCAATTTTCTTTCTTAAAAATTTTTTTTTCTAGTATTTGGCTTTGGCTTTTAATTTCTTTATGTCACTGCGATTTAGCATTTTTCTTTTTTTTTTTTTTTTGAGACAGAGTCTTGCTCTGTCACCCAGGCTGGAGTGCAGTGTCACGATCTTGGCTCACTGCAACCTCTCCCTCCCGAGTTCAAGCAATTCTCTGCCTCAGCCTCCCCAGTAGCTGGGATTACAGGCACCCACCACCACGCCCAGCTAATTTTTGAATTTTTAGTAGAGATGGGGTTTCACCATCTTGGCCAGGCTGGTCTTGAATGCGCCTCAGCCTCCCAAAGTGCTGGGATTACAGGCGTGTGCCACCGTGCCCAGCCAACATTTTTCTTAAGTAAAACTTTTATTTTAGAATAGTTCTATATTTACAGAAAATTGTGAAGACAGTACAGAGTTCCCATAACTCCCATACCCAATTTCCCTACTGTTAACATCTTAATATTAGTATGATACGTTTGTCACAATTTATAAACCAGTAAGGACACATTCCTATTAGCTATAGTACATACTTCATTCAGACTTTCTTAGCTTTTAGTTAATGAACTTTTTCTATTCCAGAATTCTATCCAAGATACCAGTTTACATTTAGTTACCATGTTTATTTAGGCTCCTCTTGACTGTGACAGTTTATTAGACTTTCCTTGCTATTGAGGACCTTGACAGTTTTGAAAAGTACTAGTCAGGTATTTTGTCAAATGTCTCTCAACTGGGATGTGTCTGATGTTTATCTCATGATTAGACTGGGATTGTGTGTTTGGGGAGAAAGATCAACAGACATGAAGTGCCACTTTGTTCATCATGTTAAGAGTAAATACCCCCAATATGACTCATTGCTGTTTATATTAACTTTGATGAACTAGTTGAGGTAGTGTTTGTCAGGTTTCTCCACTGTTTTCATACTTTTCTCCTTTACTGGGGAATGGTATTAGAAACCAAGATACAACTTAATTTTTTTTTTTTTTTTTGAGATGGAGTTTCCCTATTGTCGCCCTGGCTGGAGTGCAATATCACGATCTCGGCTCACCGCAACCTCCGCCCCCTGGGTTCAAGCGATTCTCCTGCCTCAGCCTTCTGAGTAGCTGGGATTACAAGCATGCGCCATCATGCCTGGCTAATTTTGTACTTTTAGTAGAGACATGTTGGTCAGGCTGGTCTCGAACTCCTGACCTCAGGTGATCTGCCCGCCCCAGCCTCCCAAAGTGCCTGGATTACAGGCATGAGCCACTGCGCCTAGCCAATACAATTTAATTTTTATATTTGTGTATGTTTGTTACTAAGTAACCTATCTTGTTTTAAAATAATTTTAAGCCTTATTAGAGTTATTCCTCCAAATAATAGAAACCCATTTTTTAATTTAAAAATTACTATCAACATTCAAATATTATCCATAAAAACAGAAACACTACTTGATAATTTATAATATGCCTCTGTTTATATTCTGTATAGATCTGAGATATATATACACACTGACGTGCAGATTAAGCATGTGCAATATTGATAACAAAGGAAAACATTCAATCTATAGCATTGTCCAAGTAATATGTGATAGATTGAATTTGTGTTAGAAATACTTTCTTCATTCTCCCTTCTTTCTCTTCCAGATGACATATACTTCCCTGCTCCAGTGACTTGGGACTTGGTCCTGTGATTTCCTTTGGTTAATGGACTGTGATACAAGAAATATTAGGCAAGGCTGCATGGTTTGGATTGTCTGCTTGCCCTCTTGTGATTTGCCATCAAAAGAACATGCCTTAGGGAGATGCTGGCCCAAGAAGAACATGGTGACACATAGAGCAGATGTGAACCCAGTTCTAAGCCTGAAGCCAAGCCCAGCTGACCAGCAACTTGAAACAGGGTCTCCCTGGCTTTCCTACACTCCTACGATCAAGAAAAATAGATGCTGATTGTTGAAAGCATTGAGTTTGGAGTGTTTTATGACTTTGCAGAAATAACTAATTAAAATGTATGTATGTCAAGAACAACATTTAATACTAGGTGTCTTAGAATGTGACTACTCAATACATAAAATACACTGGAGAAGGAGTATGGTTAAGTATATTGAAATTAGGTCTGAGTTTAAACCCTTGCTATGCAACTTACTAGTTATGTCTTAGACAAGTTGCCTGACCCCTCTAAACTCAGCCTTCTCATCTCCAGAATGTAGATAAAAGGAAGCTTATTTCATAGCGTATTATGAGGGTGAAATAAGAGTGATCTTGTAAAGGGCCTGGCACAGCGGTTGGCACAGAATAAATTGCTTTACTGAAAAAAAACAAGACATTTATAGTTGAGCATTGTAATTGTTTGTCTGGTTACCTCCAAAGTGTTTTGAGGATTAAAAACTATTTCATTTAAGTTAGTTTTTAGTTCTCCATTAATTATGGTTACATAACTAATTTACATTATAAACAATGGGTATTAAAAAAAGAAAAATTTTATTCTATTTTCATCCCAAATAATTATGTCTTGAATTAATAAAGACTAAAAGAAGTAATAACTTTTTCTACTGTGGACTGTCTAGTCATTTGGCACCATGTGAAGCATTCTAAAATAAAATAAACAATATAGCCAAAATTTACTTGCAAATAATTCTGCTAAATTGCTGTTCATTATCAAATGGCAAAGTCAACAATCTTTCTAAAAGTTGTTACCTTTCTTCTTTGTCTGAGTAATAAAAAGCGGTTCTATAACCTTTAAAATCTGGTTGCATTAAATGTTATGTAATGAAAACTTTGGTTTTAAAAAAAGAAAATTGAGTAAATATTGTATTATAGGTGATATACTAAAAATGTAAAGATATTTCCTGCACTATATGTCAGACAGTGTTTATTTTGGATCAGAATATTTCACACTGCTGACTTAGTAAAGCAAAATTTGCTGTAACAATTTCTTTTTTCCAGGAGCAATTCTGAATTCTAAAATGGATTATATTTGAGTTAGAAATTGAAACTTAGCTTTATCTAAATCAGGGATATTTAAAATTATACATCTTTAAGATGAAAATTACAAAATTAACGTGTTAGCTTCTAAGATCTGTTCTTTAAAAGAGTTCTAGATTAGTCAAAATGCCTGAAATTTCTGTCTAGTGAGAAGCTGACAAGGTCTTGAACCCTCTGTTCCACTCCAGGCTGCAGAAAGGGGATTGGAACTGAGCCCAGAAGACCCACAGTGTGAAGCAAAGCAAAGCCAGTCACCCACACTGCCCTAATCAAGAAAGAATAAAAAGATTACCTTTGCTATTATTCCTGAGTTCACTCATGTACTCCCAATAGAATAATGAAGAACTATATATATTCCCTTACATATTTTTAAGTTGACATCTAAAATTTTTCATCATAAGCTTAAACAGTTCTGAAGGATATAATTCTTGACATAGTGTTTATATAAATATTTTAAAATCAAATCAAAATGTCATTTTTAGGTGAAACTAATGGAATCTAAATGCCAAATGATTTGATAACCACAATCATCAGTTTTAATACATATTTGAACAGGACTTTTGGTTTAGATACAGAAAGTAGCAAAAGATCATCACTCCCACCCTAACAAGCAAAAAGTTTAAATAAATAAATAGATAATAAAATAGGCTACAAAAAGCCAGATCAGTTATAAAGATGTCTAGGTAAACGAAGCTCGAGAAAGTGGCAAACCCTTCAGGGAAGAGGAAAGACCTATGGCTCCTCCCACAGATGGGGGTAGAAAGAAGCTAGCCCAACACTTAACAACTACTGAACAGCCCTGTGTGAGCTGGCTTGATGGATGGTACCCTCAGGAATCCCATGACCCTGTGACCATGCATCTACCTGCCAACTTTCACTCACAGGTCTTAAGTAGGTCACAGTATGAGGGGTAATTTGCCCAAAGTAAGGGGACCAGACAAGAAAAGCTGAGAAAGAGTTTTTCTTTAAGGTATTTGCCCAAAGTCAAATCCCCTTCAAAAGGTGAGGAGTGTTGGCGGGGCACACAGCAGGGGAGTTGAGAGAGGCACTCTAAGCTTTCAACTGCTAAGAGAAACCCTTCCAGGACATTCCAGGTCTTCAGAGAGCATAGGGCAGTAAGGCGGCAGCACTTCAAAAGCTAGGAAAGGGACCATTAGGCTTAAAGATGTCTCCCCAAGTGCAGAAAGCAAGGGGAGGGTGAGATAGCAAAGAAAACACTCCAGGGACTCAAAATCATGCCAGCTGGGCCGTAAGCAGGCAGATATCACCCACAGTTCCAAAATTTGGCAGCTGAACTCTAAAACTCAGGAAAGTCTCTGGAATCTTTCCAATGCTCTGATACCAGGCTCTGTTGAAAGAGAAGTTGATCATATCCTCAAAATATTTGAAAACAGTGGTGAACCAAGTAAAACCACCAGTGCAAAAAAGCCCTGAGTATTCAAATATGGTTCAAATTGCCTAGGTTCCTACTCTAGAAAAAGGAATGTTTTACTTTTTGGAAGAAATTTTATTTTCTTCAGTTTCTACTGATCTCTTACACAAAACATTCTCTGCGCCCCCCCAAATTATAATGCACACAGAAAAGCAAAAAAATGTGACTCATGCCAAGAGAGGAAACAGTCAATAGAAACAGACTCCAGGATGGCCTGGAGGCTGGAGTTTTCCAAGAGAGAGGTGAAAATAACTGATAAAAATGCTGAAAGATTTAGAATAAAGGTGGACATATGAGTGAACAGATGAGAAACTTGACATTTTACTTTATAGAATTCTATCTGAATTTATTGTAATTTTTATGCATAAAAGTCTTTTATTGATTACTCAATTTTATTTCTCTACATAAAATGTGAATGCATTTTTAGAATTTATTTCTTATGGCTATAAACTTTCAGTATTTAAAATTTCCTCTAGTTTTAATAATCATAATTATATGTAGTATATAAAATTGATTCTTGAAACAATATAAATTGAATTTTGATAATTATTAGAGATAAAATTATTTTTATTGGAATTGCATCATTTAATGAGAAAAATCACATCATTTTTCTGTTAGTTCATCTATCTTTGAATGAGTATTACCTCTTAAAATGAGAGAGGGTTTTCCATCTATTCTATTCTTATTTACCAATTTTAATAAGCCCTAGAAAACTTATTTATATACATATGTAGATGAGATTGAACAGTAGTAATGTTGCTCAAGTCTCTAAAATCCTTCCTAGTTATCCTCTTAAAGTCATTGTCTGTCATCAAACAGTATATTTAATGATCTAGCAACTGAGAGTTGATTAGGTCCTCTTCAACTTTATTAAAAACTAATAATTGAAAACTGACTTGTAAAATAATTCCTGGTTATTAGAATTATTCTAATAATTCTAATAATTCCTGGTTATTAGAATTACTACCTTTCTCAAAATCATCATTGTATTTTATATCTTAGACGTTTTGCACCTTGGGAAATGCAACACATTAAATTTTGAGTGGATGAGAGCTATATCTTCTTTTCAGTGGACAAAAGCAGTAATGAAAGAATAAGTGAAAAAGGAGAAATAATCTGAAATACACTCTCAGGCAGATTACTTCTAGAGAAAAGTTTAACAGGAAGCTGAAATTTTAAGAAGTTTTATCTATTAAATTCCAACGTGCCCTCACACTCCTTGAAAAATTGTTGTATACCCTAATTTTGAATACCATGGACTTAAAACATCTGTTAAATAAGTCAATGCATGAAGGCACATCTATCAAACTATTACCCAAGGGAACTTTTTTCTTAACTGAAGCTGCTGCCTGAAATGCAGTTTCATGTTTCAAGAAGTTTGGTAGAAAATCAGAGATCTTCTATGTAAGGAGAAAAACTTCACATTCTGTTCCCACTTCTTAATGAAACTTCTTATAAAAGTGGTTCTGAAGAGAAGGTGATGCTTCTGACCTTGGACAATATTTCTTTCAAGCCTGCTGACAGGGACTAACAGCAGTGCTTGCTGATGTGAAAACAAGGAGTTTCTTTATTTACCAAAATAGCAAAAATCAGATGTGTGACCAAGCATCACAGTGCTGCCATTTGAGTAAAGAACACCAAGGTTTTTTTTTTTTTTTTTAATTCTAATGATGTTATGCTTGGCAAAGACAATTTTCATCATTTGAACATGTCAAAGGCCTTTGTAGTTTCTGAAAGGGGCTCATAATATAGTAATTCTTTGATGGAATAGCCATGCACAAAACAGATGAAAACCTGGAGATGGCTTCATTTGGTTGTTTCATCAGTCTGCTGTAAATGGCCATGGAACCTATGAATATTTACATTATTGGCTACAAAATGTTAGGAGAAATGTCCTCATTAATGGTGATGGATTGTGTCATCTGCTTGAGGCACCACATTTTAGGTTTCTTCCTCAGTTATAAGCTATAGATGTCACATTTTCCAGTGTATGTGAATTCAAGATTATATTAGTGACATAGCTTCTTTCACTTAGAATTTCAGCATGGATGATACAGATTCCTCAAGCACAGCCTTTTGTATTTGGTGAGATCCAAACATTGGTAATATTCCAGCATGTGGAAAATGTCTTAAAAACCATAGCATCCAATATATTATCAGAATGTTCACATAAAAGGTATTCCTTCAGCTTGGCTGGATTCATGTTTCCACTGGGTACCAGCCTGATTCAAGCCACTATTATCTCTTGCTTGGATTACTATAACAGTCTCTAAACTAGTCTTTCTGAATCTACCCTTGGCCCCAAGTCTATGCACTGCATAGAAGATAGAGTAGGTCCTATCACATCACTTCTCTTCTCAAGGCCTTCCAATGGTTTCCCGTCTAGAACAAAACCCAAAATCATTAAAGTGGCTTATAAGGTTCTACACAATATAGTCATAACCTCATCTTATACCATGTTCTTATTCACTCTGTCCACCAGACACCCTGGCACTTTACCGCTCTTCACTCATGACGTAGACGGTCCTACATCAAAGCCTGTACACTTGTTTCCTCTGCCGGCAACACAATTACAGAGGTTTCTGCAGGGTTTGACATCACCTTTTACTCAAGCATCACCTTCTCACTGAAGCTTTCCTTGTCCCCACTATTTAAGGTTGTAACCTCTTTCCCTGCTTTATTGTTTATAACACTTTGCATTTGAAATATTACCTATTTCAATTATGTATTTTCTATTGCCTGATCCACTCCCAAATTTTTAGGATTGTAAAGGCAAGCATTTGTGTCTGCTTTGTTCACTGCCGTATCCCCAGCATCTAGAAAAGTTCCTGGCACAAAGGGAACTCAGCAAATATTTGTTGAATGCAAGATTTCTAGAAAGGAAGGAACCATGCTCTTACTTCATCACAAGTCATAATGAAGTTAAGATTGAAGGACATGGAAAGTTTTATTGAGTGTTCTTTGACATTTTTCAGGCAGACCCATGGTAAACAAAGATGAAAGCTCATTTACACAGTAGCAGGGCTTAATTACTAACAATGAGAAATATTCTGGATGTCTTCAGACGAAGAAGATAATGATTTTACAATGCTTGATAGTCTTTAGGAGTATCTCATGCCACCACACACTATTTTGGATTGAAACAGGGCTAATATTATAAATTGGAGAACATGTTCAAAGATTTCTTGGTGGAACAATTTGGGTGGAAAGTTGCCACTGGTGGTCCCTAATGGTACAGAGGACAGAAACATGATTAGAAGACAGGACATCATGTCCCTTGTAAGCTGGATTCCTAGGTATTTTATTCTCTTTGAAGCAATTGTGAATGGGAGTTCACTCGTGATTTGGCGCTCTGTTTGTGTGTTATTGGTGTATAAGAATGCTTGGGATTTTTGCACATTGATTTTGTATCCTGAGACTTTGCTGAAGTTGCCTATCAGCTTAGGGAGTTTTGGGCTGAGACAATGGGGTTTTCTGGATATACAATCATGTCATCTGCAAACAAGGACAATTTGACCTCCTCTTTTCCTAATTGAATGTGCTTTATTTCCTTCTCCTGCCTGACTGCCCTGGCCAGAACTTCCAACACTATGTTGAATAGGAGTGGTGAGAGAGGGCATCCCTGTCTTGTGCCAGTTTTCAAAGGGAATGCTTCCAGTTTTTGCCCATTCAGTATGATATTGGCTGTGGGTTTGTCATAGATAGCTCTTATTATTTTGAGATACATCCCATCAATACCTAATTTATTGAGAGTTTTTAGTATGAAGTGTTGTTGAATTTTGTCAAAGGCCTTTTCTGCATCTGTTGAGATAATCATGGTTTTCTTCATTGGTTCTGTTTATATGCTGGATTACGTTTATTGATTTGCGTATGTTGAACCAGCCTTGCATCTGCTCAATGAAATAAAAGAGGATACAAACAAATGGAAGAACATTCCATGCTCATGGGTATAAAGAATCAATATCGTGAAAATGGCCATACTGCCCAAGGTAATTTATAGATTCAATGCCATCCCCATCAAGCTACCAATGACTTTCTTCACAGAATTGGAAAAAACTACTTTAAAGTTCACATGGAATCAAAAAAGAGCCTGCATTGCCAAGTCAATCCTAAGCCAAAAGAACAAAGCTGGAGGCATCACATTATCTGACTTCAAACTATACTACAAGGCTACAGTAACCAAAACAGCACGGTACTGTACCAAAACAGAGATATAGACCAATGGAAAAGAACACAGCCCTCAGAAATAATACCACACGTCTACAACCATCTGATCTTTGACAAACCTGATAAAAACAAGAAATGGGGAAATGATTCCCTATTTAATAAATGGAGCTGGGAAAACTGGCTAGCCATATGTAGAAAGCTGAAACTGGATCCCTTCCTTACACCTTATACAAAAATTAATTCAAGATGGATTAAAAACTTAAATGTTAGACCTAAAACCATAAAACCCTAGAAGAAAACCTAGGCAATACCATTCAGGACATAGGCATGGGCTAGGACTTCATGACTAAAACACCAAAACAAATGGCAACAAAAGCCAAAATTTACAAATGGGATCTAATTAAAATAAAGAGCTTCTGCACAGCAAAAGAAACTACCATCGGAGTGAACAGGCGACCTACAGAATGGGAGAAAATTTTTGCAATCTACTCATCTGACAAAGGGCTAATATCCAGAATCTACAATGAACTCAAACAAATTTACAAGAAAAAAACAAACAACTCCATCAAAAAGTGAGCGAAGGATATGAACAGACACTTCTCAAAAGAAGACATTTATGCAGCCAAAAGACACATGAAAAAATGCTCATCATCACTGGCCATCAGAGAAATGCAAATCAAAACCACAATAAGATACCTTCTCACACCACTTAGAATGGTGATCATTGAAAAGTCAAGAAACAACAGGTGCTGGAGAGCATGTGGAGAAATAGAAACACTTTTACAGTGTTGGTGGGACTGTAAACTAGTTCAACCATTGTGGAAGTCAGTGTGGCGATTCCTCAGGGATCTAGAACTAGAAATACCATTTGACGCAGCCATCCCATTACTGGGTATATATCCAAAGGACTATAAATCATGCTGCTATAAAGACACATGCACACGTATGCTTATTGCGGCACTATTCACAATAGCAAAGACTTGGAACCAACCCAAATTTCCAACAAGGATAGACTGGATTAAGAAAATGTGGCACATATACACCATGGAATACTATGCAGCCATAAAAAATGATGAGTTCATGTCCTTTATAGGGACATGGATGAAGCTGGAAACCATCATTCTCAGCAAACTATCGCAAGGATAAAAAACCAATCACCACATGTTCTTACTCATAGGTGGAAATTGAACAATGAGAACACATGGACACAGGAAGGGGAACATCCCACACCAGGGCCTGTTGTGGACTGGGGGGGAGTGGGGAGGGATAGCATTAGGAGGTATACCTAATGTTAAATGACGAGTTAATGGGTGCAGCACACCAACATGGCACATGTATACATATGTAACTAACCTGTGCATTGTGCACATGTACCCTAAAACTTAAAGTATATAAAAAAAAGACAGGGCATCTATTAGAATGACTAAACTAAAAGAGACTGGTCATGCCAAGTGCAGGGATGTGGCAGAGTTGGATCTCTCATATGCTGCTGGTAGAAGTACATGGTCCAATCACTCTGGAAAATGGTTTGGCAGTTTTCAGAGTGCCCCAAGGGTAAATAACTTAGTTATTTAGAAATGAAAACATTTGGGAGGCCAGGGCAGGCAGATCACTTAAGGTCAGGAGTTCGAGACCAGCCTGGCCAACATGGTGAAGCCCTGGCTCTACTAAAAATATAAAAATTAGCCAGGTGTGGTGGCACACACCTGTAATCCCAGCTACTCAGAAGGCTGAGGCAGGAGAATTGCCTGAACCCAGAGGCAGAAGTTGTCATGAGCTGAGATCGCAGCACTACACTCCAGCCTGGGTGACAGAGCAATACTCGGTCTCAAAATTAAAAAAAAAAAAGAAGAAGAAGAAGAAGAAAAAGAAAACTTATGTCTACATAAAAACCTGTACATGAATGTCTATATCTGTAGTTAAATGCTGGAAACAACTAAAATACCCTTAAATTGGAGACTAGATTAACAAATCTATTGAAATTGTATGGTACAACCATACGATGGAATACGACAATATAAAGGCACAAACAATTGGTGTATGCAACAATGTGAATGACTCTCAAAAGCATTATTTTAAGTGAAACAAGCCAGTCTCTAAAAGTTACATGCTGAATAATTTCATTTATATGTCTTTTCATAGAAGGCATTGGGGTTAGGGGATGATTTGACTATAAGAGGCAGCATGAGGAAATTTTGGAGAGTGTATGGAATTGTTCTATATACCTGTTGTGGTGGTGGTTACCTGAATCTATGCATGTGTCAAAACTCATAGATGTGTATACCAAAATAATAATAGTAATACTGCATCTAAATTTTTAAAAATCACCAGTTTGTTTCTTAAAGGGCAGGATTTTCCAGCACTGATATGGGAGCAAGCTTGAAGGCCTATGATGTGCATATCAAACCAAATATATAACTGTCTCTTATAGAAAATCTCTATAGATTATCTTCATCGCCTCTCCCTTGTGTCATGAGTTGACATGCAAAATCAACTGGTCAGACAGTCTCGCCAACAACCTCTTCGTACACTTTCAGATGATCTGTCAGGTCAATTTGGAATGAGCAGATATCATCAAGCAATATTTCCATATGATAAAGATGATTCTTTAATGACATATTTTCTTGTGGCTTTACAAGTTTAGGGGTATGTAATATTGTTTTGTTTTTCTTTTCCCCATAAAACATGATCTTTGGCAATATATTTGACTAAGATATTGAGCTATATGTTTTAAAACTGGTAGGTATGTGTTATTGCTTGCTTTCTTTTCTACTAATTATCTTTTTTGGCTCAACAGGGAGATATCGTTCATTCTTAGAACTTAGAATTAAATATTTGAACTACAGGTCCAGCCCATTAGGACTAAAGATTAATTAATCACCTCCTAAATTCCAATGTGTATTTGAGAAATCACATGAATGTTTGTTAGTACTTCCTGTCTCCAATTTAATATGAAATATTTTTTTTCCACCGACAGAGCTGGTTAACAGAAAGGATCCTATGATATTTTGTTGATATCAGACTAATGCAAAGATTTAAACTAAAGGATAACTTCAAGCAAATACCTCTGAAACAAGTATTGTAAGAAGGCCCATATGTGTAGGAGTAGTCTTTGCTATATTCTACTTGTCATTTGTATCTGCTGTGTTCGTTGAGGATGGTATTGTATCTGATAAATCACGAATTTTAATTTCAGCCTCATAGGAAGAGTCAGTGGAGTGTGTGTGTGTGTGTATGTTTGTGTATGTGTGTGAAATTGCTAATAGCTGAACTCTGATTAATGTCAGCATGACAGAAGAACAAGATCTCATTCAGCAATTGTATTTCTTATAATAATGTGAATAATAATCATAGCAAACATTTATTGACTATTTACTATATCCCAGATACTACTCTAAGTGTCTCACATTTATTTTGTCATTTATTCTTCCCCTAAATTCTTATTTGAATTTTCCAATTCTTATATTTTTTATCAGGGATCCAATGGACCCAGAACTTACATGGATGTAAAGAAATGTACTTTGCAACTTTGAATTTATAAACAACTTAATAACTTTTTTATATAAGTAAATTGGCATTTTCTTTTATGTTATGCAACACTAAAAAAATAACCTTTTGTTAGACTGACATGGTTTTATTTGGGGAAATTGTTTCCTTATAATTTCCCAGGTACATGATTTATTTGAAAAGTAACAGTCTTTCAGTATCATCTCTTCTTTTTTGCCTTTTATTTGTTCCTAAATCCAATAGTCTCTCTGTGTCTCCAACAGGCACTGAAACTGATGCAGGCTGTCCAGCATGGACTATGATGCAGGAGCAACTCTTCCAGGAGAACTGGATACATAAACAGTGCAGTAAAAACCCAGAAACATATCTACTTAACTGCTTTGTAATTGATGGATAATCATTTCACTGTCACAATCAGTGATGTGTGAAAATTTACTGCTTATATTTCCAAATTGCTTCACCCTGCCCACCCCCAAGGCCCTCATATATATCCTTTTGACTGTCAAACTGATGGATACTCATTGAAATTCCACAGCTTAGATGCATCACAAACTAACCATGGATATTCATTCCCATGATCTAACCCAAAGCATAAAAATTCCACTAGAAAGTCATAGGCTCTTCTCAGCAGGCTCCACACCAAACCTTGCAGGGCTCATATTCCTGGAGACTGAATATTTATTGAATTTCTAGATGCCACCTGTGAACACATTTATTTCTAGAAAAATAAAAAGATTAAGGCCATTTAATTTCATAAACAGTGAAATAGAAGAAGTATCTAGAGCATTACAATGTAAAAATTAACATGATTTAATGGAAAGAATATGGACTTGGGAGACGGATTTGAGTTCAAATCCTGATTTGATCATTTATTAGGTCTGCGATCTTGAGCAAGATGTTTGGCCTACCTGACCTCAAAATTTTTGCCTGTAAAGCCAGTAATACCTACCTTATAGGACTGCTTTAAGGATTACAGAGGCTTATATAGGCAAATTGGTTCAGCAAATATTTATTGAGCACCTATTATGAACAGGTATTGTGCTAGGTGCTAAAAATTTGACATTAATATAGAGTCACTGCCTTCAGAGAACTTAACAGCTGAGTTGAAGAGATAGTCAAAGAAGGAGGCAATAACACTGTGGTATGCTAAGAAATGTGAGCAAGCAAAGCCACATTTGGGGCAGCTGCACAGCTTGGGATGGGGAAGGTGAGGAGTCAGGAAAGGACACCCTCAGGAGGTGACACCTGAGCTATGGTGATGAGCCAGGACCAGGTGGAGCCTACACAAAGACCCAGGGTGGCATGCACAGTATATGGTGAGGTGGGAATAGTGATACGGGATGATATAAAACCATGAAGGACCTCACATGCAGTACCCTGTGCTATCATCAATGACTTTAAGCAGAGAATGAACATGGTCAGATTTTCAGTTTGGAACCCTCACTCTGTCTATAGGAAAGATTATAGGTTGGTGTGACTCAAGGCAGAGAGAAAGTCAAGAGGCTAATACAGAAAAGTGTGGGGAAAATACTGGATTTCCAGTGTGGTGAGAGAAAAAAGTGAACAGAGTAAGGATCTTTGAAGAGATGAAATTGATAGAATTTCATCCGTGAGAGGAAGTAGGGGGATGGAGAGGGGTTCCTGCCTGGATCAAGGAGTACACTGTAGCGCATTCTCCAGGATGTAGAGGAAAAACAAGTTTGGGGAGCTAGGGCTGGATATGCAGAGCTTGATGAATCTGTGTACACTCAGGTGGAAGTGTCACTCTCAGACACTGCAGTGCCCTGTCCTCACCTATATCCCTTTGGCCTCACCTTGTCAGTACATACACCTGCAACTTTCCACCTGAAGGCTTTTGCTCCTTTTTGTGGGAGGGACATCCGAAGGAAAGAGTGACCATTTAACACCTGCAAAAGCAGTCTTCAGGCAATGACAGATGGAGCTGGAGGATCAATGACCCCACTCCCCAGCCCTCTGGAGGATCCCTCTGGGGGAGGTTAATTCTAAGGTGTCTTGTGTCCTGTCTCCCAGAGCTCCCCATCAGGACTGAACTTCAGTGGCCCCCCAGTGGAAATCTGCCTCACGACGAACTCCTGATTCCCATATCACATCTTCCCTCCCCTACCAGGGCCTATGGGACACTTTCCCAAATTAAGTACTTGCACTCAAACCCTTGTCTCAAGGTCTGCTTGTGGGGAAATCCCATCCAAGACATACCTAATAGGCATGGAAGCATTGAATCTATGTATTGGAAGAGATGTCTGGGGAGGAGATATAAATTTAGAAACTCCTACATATAGGAGTTAGTTGAAGCCCAAGGAGGGAACGAGCTCACCTTGAGGAAGGAAGTAGAGGGGAGCTACTGGGATGTAAAGTAAAAGAGAAAAAAACTCAAGCACAGTGTACAAAACTGGACAGACTTAATAGGGACCAGTTCCTTTTCAAACAGTGATCTGTGGCAGGGAAGTTCTTTTAAAAAGTTGTCTGGAAATACTGGACTAATTATTTTATAGTTATGTAATCAATTTAATTTATAGTTCTTCTGCTGTACCTTGAAAATTGAGTATATACTGGTTCTTTATGAGCTGTAACATTTTATGACCTGTCAGGGCATTGACTGATACAGTGCACTGAAAAATAATCATATAAGATTACCTTAAAATACATATCAGTATCTGTCATTTTGACAGTGGAATCGCAATACTATAAATCTACAAAGATTAAAAATTTTAAGTGGAATGCTCTAAGCCGAATATTTATTAGGATACCTCAACTGCACCAAAAGAAGAAACAGAAACAAAATACTAATTTGACTTGAAGAAAATTTAGCTCTGGAATTCTAGGACTACAACAGGCCTCATATTTTTTATGGACCTTAAAATTATCCATCATTCTTAATACATTTCTCATGACAAATAATTGCCAGACTAGTATGCAATCTTACACAATGCCATCTCTCCAATTACATTTCTAAGGAACACATAGAAATAGAAAAAAGAATTACTGATCTATACATACTTTGATGTCTACATTAAAAATCAAGAGAAAATGTATATGACTGTAACTGCCTCTTGACAATCTTAAAGAAAAGGTGATGTGGTTGGTTTTACCCTTCCACATATCACAATAGTCCTGATAGGAGCCAGTGATAAACAGTGTGTTCACCTCCTAGTGTCCTTCTTAATTCATTCTCAATGGACCAAGTATTTTGAAAGATTATGCATCAAACTGCACATATTGACAATTAGTTTTTCAGTGTTTTATTAACAGGAGATAAATGCTACTTGGAGCTTTAGATCAATAGGACATAACCATTGTCACCACTCTAACTTAATAGAACTTAAGCCAAAGTTTGTTTTTGAAAAAAAAAAATACTAACGGTGCTGTGCCTTTCACTTTTATTTCCACCTGCCATGTTCTAGTTGAGAGTTTTCAATTGGGAAACATTGCTATAAATTTACAATGAGAACTAGGCTTCTTGTGTACTACATACAGTTTTCGATTGTTAACAGAAAATAGGAAATGTTGGAAACTAAAAATGGAAGGAAGATTATGACTATAGAAAAGAAGCAGGATTTGGTATAAAATCTGAATATAGATGGCTTTTTATGTCGATAAATAGGAAATCTAACTAACTCCACAGCCAGTGCTCCATATCTTAGACTTAATCCTCATGCCCTCACTCTGAACCCCATCCCACTGTGCCCTCTCATTATGTTGCCTCCCAGCCAGGGAGTCCCAGGGCAGCCTGTTGGAGAGGAGGGAGGTTGAGGGGTGGTTACCTATAGGCCCCATCTCTTGCTACTTCATGACCACACCGGAGACCATCTTTTCTTTCCTGCCCTGTGGCAACATCATCTTCTCCGGTTCCATCAATTCTCTGCTTTTAAGCACTCATTCTTTCATTGAAAATGAAGCAGGAACAAACTGTCCCACAGGTTAGTTGATGCCAGTCCTCTCACTCATAGCTTAGACTATCTCCCTGGGCAGGAGAAATTATGTGTGTGTGTGTGCATATGTGTTAGGTGTTAGTATGGTTGTGTGTGTGTATGTATGTTTGGGGTGTGTGTAGGGTGTGGACATAGTTACTTGTGTCCTTGTTTTACTCATCCACACAGGCCCACTCCCTGCTCTAAGCTCCCCGGGGGTACAGATAAACCTCACTCATTTTTGTTTCCCTTGCCACAGTAAGGCCAAAAGGAAAAGGATCTAAGACTCTTTGGCCACCTGCTATGTGCCAGGAACTGTACTGGCTGCTTTACCTACATTATGTTATTTTATCCACATATCATTCCTATGAGATGGAGATAAGTCTCATTTTATACATGAGAAAACTGAGACTCACAGGGGTTAAATAACCTGACCGAAGACACAGTAAAATGTGCAGTGCATCCCATTGGAAACAAACTCCTAGCTTTTTCCATTCCCATTCATAGAAATCTGATCACAAAATTCATTCTCTTGTTTAAAACCATTCGCTGATTTCTCACAGCCCAGAAGACAAGTCTTGACCCCTGGTGTGGTGCCCAAACACCCAGCCTGGCCCACCTGCCTCTTGGGGCTTAGCTCTGGCAGCACACTCCAGCCAGGCTACAACAGGGGCATTTCTCCCAACGCTCCACACTGCATCTCCCTTCTTGGTTCGCACTTCTACTTTTGCTTATAATGCCTTTTTCCACCCTTTTCCACCTGAGGTAAAACTACATATCTTTTAAGACTCTGATCATGTTCCACCCTCTACATAGCCTTTTTGAAAAGCTGTTCTTCCTTCATCCTACTATATTTGACCACTGTCTCTTTTAGGCCTCATCACCCTATCCTCAGTTCCCACAACAGTGTGCTGACATACTTCTGTCACAGCCCCACTAACTTTCTTCCTTCCTTACATGTTCCTCTGCCTTCTAAGACCATAAATTCCTCAAGGGCAGGAGTCAAATATTGGTCATCCTCATACTTCTAGGGCACAATTGTCCAAGAGAACTTTCTGTCATAAAAAAAAATATTCTTCTATGCCATCTAATATAGTAGTCATTACACACTATGTTTTGTGGCTTGAGAACTTGAGAAATAGAGCAACTGAGGAATTGAGTTTTTAATTTTATTTAATTTTCGGTAATTTAAATTCCAATAGGCACATGTGGCTAATGACTACTATGTTGGATGGTACAGCTGTAAGGCTATAAAGGATCTGGGACATAGTAGGTATTAGTAAGTATTTGCTGAATTGGACAGAACTCATTTAGTTCAGGTCGCTCAGGGTTTCCTTCTAACCAAGTCCAAGAACCTTTGCTATAGTTTTAATTCTGTTCAACTACTTCACTGATGGAGGCTTTCTGGACCACCCTTTATCTTCCTCATATACCCTCCAGGCCTGGCTTGAAGAACACACATTGCTGTCTTGGAACCCTTTCTGACCACTAATTTGCTTCCTTTGCTTTTCTTCTCTGCCTCTCATTTCTACAAAGGCTATAAAATGGGACTGCATTTCCACCAGAGTCTCATTCCACAATGTGTAACCATAAAACATAGAAGCAGAGTTATTAGGGCCTTGAGGGAAAATGTATGAAGAAAATATCAGCCTGATTCATTATGAACAGTTATTATAAACAGTGGGCTTGCTAGCAAATGACAGGAAAACTAATTTGCATTTGCAACAAAATTATGTCACACACATCTGCCACAGCTCCCATCCCCCTTACCAACATATTACTAGGACTCTTTAATTAAAGAAACCCTGCTAACTCCAAAAGTTTTGGGGTCTGTGACTTGTGTTCTTGAGGGCTTGACTTGAAATCTTTATTAATAATCTCAATATTGCCTGGATTTCCAGTCCTCAAACTACCCAAGGGGAGAACCTGAGCCAAGAATTACTAGGCACTTGGAACATTCTAGACACTGTGCTAAAGATTCCCTCTTGCCTGACCACCACCCAATAACTTCTGAGTAGGTATCAATATTTCTATTTGACCAACGAGGAAGAGGAGGATGGGACAAGTTACTACTTGCCCCATGATCTGGCAATGCAATCCTGGTTGCCCAGCTCCAAAGTCCATGTCCTTCCTGATCTACCTCTCTGTCCCTTGAAATTTTAAACCAACAGTCTAGCAGTTAACAGCTTCTAGAGCAGGTAATTTCCTTTACTAGGGAAATTTTAAATGCAATTATATTTTCCTCCGTATAAAAACCTTCATGATTATAAATCACATTTTTAAGGCTATCCTTTAGATTCTTTATCCTCATATTAAATGATCCTATCTATTGCCAGTTTTTAAAAGTTTCTTATTTTGTAAAGTCACCCAAGATCTCCACAATCATCATAAAAGATGAAACTCTGGAACAGGATAATTCTATCTGGATCTGCTTGGTGCCTAATACAATTGGGTTTATAGTTTTACTCCAGCCAAGTAATGCTTTTGTGGAAATGACCCAGAACTAGCTGTAAAAGTACCCAGTGCAAATCTATCCTTAGCCAAATATTAGTTTGGGGCACATCACTTTCCTCCTTGTTTCTCAGCTCCTTCACTCACAAAATGATCAAGATAATAACTAGGACCATAGGGGAGGTTTGTAAGAAGACCAAATGAATATAATATACATAGGAAAATAGTAAAATATTAAATCTAACCTTAATATCATCTTCATAATTTTATTATTGATATGTATAAATCATAATTAGCATGCATTCTTACTAAATTAATAAAATAACTGGACCTTAAAAATGGGCTATGTTGGCAAGGGTAGGGCAGAGATGCAAAAAGAGATAATTCAGTCTATCACATAATATTTGGACATAATTGTAATCGTTAAACATATGAAGAGATAAATTATGTATAAGAGAAATGAGTTTCACAGCTTCTTAGCTGATGTACTTTTGGAATACTTATTTTAGCCAATAGAATAAGGTAATAGTACAATAATACTGAGTCCAGGTTCAATATTCATTAGATAGTATTTAACTTACTATACCTCTGAAGTCTAGATAAGAAGTATTCATCAAATTAAGCTGCATTTTCACAAGAAGGAATGGGTAATTCAAGAAATAGAGTAGAGAAGTAATCAAGAACCAGTCTGTGGATTTTAATTTAATCCTAATTCCCCTATTTGCTTACGGCCTTGGGCAGGTAACTTAGCCTCTCCGTGTCTCAGTGACATTATCTTTAAAATGGGAATAACAGTATTTCCTAACCAATAAGGTTACTATGATGAGTAAAGGAATTAATACATGTAAAACTCTTAAAACAATGTGTGGCACATTACAAGTGTCCAATCATGTTGTCTGTCATAAACATTAAAGAAGAACCAATATAGGCATTTTAGCTGTAAAAAACCATGACTACAGTAATGCAAACTTTTCAACATATAAAGCTATTACTATTACGAGCATTTTAGGAGGATGATAGTTCTTTCTCTCAAAATCAGAAACACTAAGAGAAAAAAATATAAATAGTAAATACATCAGTATCAGAGGATGTGTGCTTTGTTTCTTGAGTAGGAGAGCAATTCAACCTTCCTATGACCAGATCCAGGTGCTTTTAGAGTAAATTGACAATTAAAAAAAAGAAATTTTCAAGGGGTGATGGTGACAAGAAAAGGAAGAAATAATGAGTATAAAAAGAATGTATCCCACATAAATTGATGTATTTATTACAAACACATAGATGGAGATGATAGAGAGGCTTAGATTAAAAGGCCATTTGGATTCAGAATCACATCAAAGCAATTCCAGCTTTCATAATGCCCACAGAAGCCAACTTTCCCAGACTGGTAAGACAAATTTTGTTTTAACATTTTCTGGGAAAGACATCTGATTGCATGTGTGTATGTGTATGTATAACCTCTCTTCAAATATCAAAGATTGTGGTGTAAACTTACAGACGAATGATTTATGATTTACTTCTGGCTTACAAGTGTGTTGCTTCAACTATCAAACTGGAGACATTAAAACAAATATTTTTCTGGAAAGAAAATCTTCAGAAATATCAAAGCAGAGTTGAGGAGAAAGTGTAAAATCTATGGAAAAATACTGCTAATTCTTATCTTAATAATTACGGTGACTTGAACAGGTGAGGATAAGGTCTCGGATAAGGTCTCATTTCTTTCTAAAATCTAGTGTTGTGGCAGAGATACTGTCTACAGTGTAGGACATATGGAATTGATGCATAAAGAAGTTACCAAACTCAATAGGACCTTAATTAGTGAACACTATTTGGTCTCAGTTATAAACACTAATACATACAACTTCATGAAGACAGAAACATTTTCCAAATGCAAATACATACTTGGTCAGGACTATTTAAGATTATACTGTATGGAAAAAGTATCTAAGATAATATTCATTGTTTTATTATTGCTTTTTTTAGATCACTCAGATAAGTAATAATTCTATTTCTGATGTCATAGTTGAATATCTCAAGATTCACGTAGAAAATGAAAGCAAAAATGGATTAGAATTCCAGATTAAAACTCTGCCTCTATCATCAATACCTTTAGTCCCTCTATTATTAATCCTCCATAAGAGAAAAAGATAGATGCTGGTTAGAGGTGTTTAAAAAGAAGTTAACTTCTCTAATAATCTATTCTATTCCCCAATATTTTAGACATTCCCAGGCCTGATTCCAAATTGAATGTTTTAAGGTAATAATTCCAGAGACTTACTCTGTTATCAATAACTTCCCTGGCCTGGGAGCACTTAAAAATATGCTAATAACAGAGACATGAATAAATATTTCACAAAGAAGAAAAAAAATTATTTAACACATGAAAAAACATTCTCAATCTCAAGTATAAATTAAACTACACTGAGATATGAATTTTTACCTATCAGACAGGCAAAGATTTAAAAAGTTTGGTAATATACCCTGTTATATCCCCAGAAGAGTATGGGAATTATAAATTTATCAAATTTTGTAATTGGTCAAAACATACATAAATTAAATGTCATAAATCTTTGACTCAATTCAACTTTCAGGAATGTATTTCTAAAATAAATATTTTATTTGTAGTAAGTATATACCATATTAAATATATACAAATATATTCACATAGGTATTGAGAAACTGAATATACAAATGGACAATAGCTGTACCATATATAAAAATGCAGCTCTGACTCACAGGCTGCAGTAACCCGCCCAGGAAATTACTCCCCCCTTATCTATAATAAATAACCTGTTATAAGTCAGACTTGCAGGAAGCCAGGTTGCTATCTCTAGTAACAATCCGGGAAGGTAAACACTAACTCTGTAGCAATCACCCAAAAAGGGCCAGTTATTGATTAATAACTGACAGTTTCTCTATTTTTTGGTCCCTGCTTTCAACTTAGGATGAACCAAAGAAAGCTAAATATGCACTCCTAACCAACTCCATAGGATGTCCCACTTCTAGTTAGCTCACCGATAGCATTCCCAGGCCAACAGCCTCCAATCAGCCTTTATACCTGAAGCCTTCACTTTTTTCTAGTTTAAAGATTCCCTTTTCCTCTGCCAGCCTTTGATACTCTGCCAAACCAAGTGACAGTGGCTGATTCCTTACTACAGCAAGCTTTGAATACATAGCCTTTGCTTTTCTCATTTGGTTGGTCTTTATTTCCACAGTGTGCAAAGATGTATGTGAAAAGATATTCATTACAGCATTGCTTAATAGAGTAAAAGACTGAAGACAACTCAAATGTTCATCAATAGGAGACAGGTAAAATCAATTACTGCCCATGCATAGACAGACTACGGTGAAACTATTAACAAGAAAAAGGTATATAAATATGTGTGTACACAGACCAATCACCAAGACATATCATTAGAAAAAACCCACAAATTCTAAAAAAGGGTGCAAAGCAATGCTTATGGTATACAACCATAGATGCCTACATATCTCTAAATTGGTACAAATGGTTATTCAGAGAGACAAAGTGGGAGACTAAGAAATAAAACTAGTATGCAAAATTACTGTGCACCTGTATCATTTATTTCTTTTGGCTTTGGTATTATCTGTATAATTACCTATTTAAATATAATCTATTACTTTTTAAAAATCTAAATTTGCAACATTTGGAATAAGGGGAGAGCAGTCATTTCCCCATTGAGATATCCAAATTAGTATATAATTTTCAGGCTTAAAAATATGGCAACATATTACAAAAATAATTTTAATGCCAATCTTTTGAGTAGAGAAACCAAGCTAATCAAATACCACACATCTTCCCAGTCCGCCGCTATCAGGAATGCTGCCCTTGCAACAGAGTAGTTACAGTTGGAGCTGTGGGTGACAAAGAGGATATTGCCCATTAACTGTGATGGTCACTGAGGAGTCACGGACAGAAATCTCTGGTATTCCTAACTTTTATTACTCTTTCAGAACAGAGTTCCATAGCCTCATATCTGTTCAATAACAACCACATTATTATGAGAGAACTTTGTTGCTCTGCCAGCCTTTTCTTTTTTCCACCTCAGGAAAGGCCAGACACCCCGCATCCCAATTAGTAGAGCAAGGAAGGACTAGGGAGGATGTTAAAAGTGCAGATTCCTGCCCTGAGCCAGGTTTAACAAGCATCCTGGAACATTTTTGTGCCTAGTGAAGAAGGCAACCCCACCCCACCTCACACTCCAGAATAAATTATCTAGTGATATTCCTTTCTAAGGAATGGGCTCAGCTGGGGACAGGCCAGATCTTAAGCCGAATATTTTTTCACTTGGCCGTAGACTCAGTTGCGCCCCCTGGCGACCCTGCGGTGGTGAGTGGCATTCAGCACTCTGGGTGGGTGGTGAAGTGGAGGATTGATTCCTCGTACTCTGACAGCAGAGCTGGGTTATCAGAAAGTTAGCAAAATGGGCCAGAGATCCCATAGCTTTCAGTAAATTTCAAGAAGTCAGAGAGACTATATTAAGACAATAGTATGGTCTGTTTCCACCTGATAATTTTGATTTTATGCTGTTTTCACAGCCCCCACACCAAAAAATAGGCTCTGCAGAAAATAAATTTGGCTCTGTTTTGTTGACTGACATTGTTGAAACACCAAAATGGTGTCTTCCACACGGTGGATGCTCAGTTAGACAATTCAGGAGCACTAGTGTCTCACACTCAAGGTTAGGAAACTGGACTTAGCTTCTGTTAGCTAATCAGTCAAATCTAGTTCTCTAATTCTGCCCCCAGTGCTATCAAGCTTTAGTATCTTCTGCTTGGACAAAGTGATATGAACTACTGGCAAAGATGTAGCCTGTAATACTGCTTTCCACACAGATAAAATGCATTTAAAGCAAAAGATATGTATTATCTGACTAAAATACTGCTTAGAAAAAGTAACTCATGAAATATATATTCCTACTAACAAAAAGAGTTAGTAATATAATTTTGAAATAACACTGTTTTAAGAGGTTTATTAAAAGAAATTCAAAATCTTCATTATTTTATAACAATGTTTAGGATGCATGCCATTATCTAGAAAACGTTAAAGATGTTCCTTTTTCTTTACCTGCGTAGGTGATGACTTTATCTTTTCTAAATAGTACAGATTTATTTAAAAAGAAAACTAAAAGCCAATACAAATAATCATTTTAAAAAATAAATAACTCGTCATTTAGCATTAGGTAGAGTTTCTGCCCGCATGGCACATGTATACATATGTAACTAACCTGCACATTGTGCACATGTACCCTAAAACTTAAAGTATAATAATAATAAAATTTTAAAAATAAAAAATAAATATCCACTGCTTTATACTTCAATTCTTGCCTGAAAAATTAAATCACTGGTGTAATTTCTTAATATTCAAATATTTATCTTAACAGAATCTGCTTCATTAAAAAGAAGCAGATTATGTTCAACCATCTCTGGAATATCAGAAGTATTTATTTCTCAGCTTCCTAGCTATTTATCCAGCTGAAATGCAGAGATTTTGTCATTGCAGAAAGGAGAAACTTCTCGTTGAGGACGCAATGAATACATGAGGGAGAGGAGGTGTTTCTTGTAATTAAAATAACCACCAAGTCCAGGCATGGTGTCTCACACCTATAATCCCAGCACTTTGGGAGGCCAAGGTGGGCAGATCACCTGAGGTCAGGAGTTTGAGACCAGCCGGGCCGACGTGGTGAAACCCCGTCTCTACCAAAAATGCAAACATTAGCTGGGCGTGGTGGCAGGTGCCTATAATCCCAGCTACTTGGGAGGCTGAATTGGGAGAATTGCTTGAACCCAGGAGACCGAGGTTGCAGTGAGCTGAGATCGTGCCACTGCACTCCAACCTGGGTGACAGACAGAGATTCTGTCTCAAAAAAAGTAAAATAAATAAAACTAACCACCAAGTATTAAGTAGTCACTCCATGCCAGGTACTTTAAATTTATTGCATCTCAATTTGCATAGCCCCCCAGGAAGATGATACCACCTTTTTTTTTTTTTTAGATGACAGAATGAGATTAAATGGATTTCCAAAGGCCACATGGCTGAGAAATAAGGGAGCTGTTATTGAAAGTGCATCTATGATACTGCGTGGTGCACACTTGTTTCATGCTGTCCCTTGTACATTTTTGGAAATTGTAGAAATTAAGAAATTACCCTATAAACAAAAATGCACTTCACAAATAGGAATGCCCAGGATTTAACCAGCCAAGGTTTTACTATTACTGTAACAGGGGGAAAAAAAAAAGGAACTTACCACCATATGTCAGATATAAATGGCTCTTAAGTACAAAATGCCAAGAAGATCTGAACCTGAATTTGATTGATGGTCAGAGCTGAACCACCAGAACCAGGTAGCCAAAGTGTCTTACTCAGTTTAGGCTTCTATAACGAAATACCATAGACCAGGTGGCTTATAAACAACGGAAATTTGTTTCTCACGGTTCTGGAGGCTGGAAGTCTGAGATCAGGGTGCCTCCATGGTCAGGTTCTGGTGAGGGCCTTCTTCTGGGCTACAGACAGCTGACTTCTCACTGTGTCCTCACATGGTGAAAGGGGCAAGGCAGCTCTCTGGGGCCTCTTTAATAAGGGCACTACACATGTTTTTTCAGTCTCTATCAGTTATAATTATTTGGGCAGAAAATAGAATGAAATTTTTCTTTGTTTAATAACAGTTGTTTATAATGTAAATTAGTTATGTAACCATAATTAATGGAGAACTAAAAACTAACTTAAATGAAATAGTTTTTAATCTTCAAACACTTGGAGTAACCAGACAAACAATTAAAATGCTCTGTCTTCGTGACCCGATCACCTCTCAAAGGCTCCACCTTCTAATGCCATCACATTACTGATTAGGTTTCAACACAATGAATTTCAGGGGACACAAAGGTTTTGAGCATAGCACCAAGCAAACCTATGTCTCATTATCTGTGCCATGATGTGATACTACTAGAATATCAACAGAGCAGATCTGTGAAGTGCTAAAACACTTAATTGGCCAACACTAAATATTGCTTGACAGATTCAAATGAGGAGTAAACCATGATTATAAAAAAGGAGGAAATGCTTTTATCATGAATTTTACTTGAAAACTAGGAAACAACATGTGGATAGATGTTTTCAAAAAAAAGAGCAACAAATTTCAAAGCAAATAGAAAATGAAGACTTAATGCCAGAGAAAATATCTGCTTATCCAACCAGACTTTAAATATTAACATCACTGCCCAAGAAAATGTTTCTCTCATTGACATTTTAATAGAACTTTAACATATCCATTGAATAAATTGTCTGGTCCAGTTCTCAGTCACAATCCATGATCTTAAAGGGTCACCCTAAATAAACATAGAGACTTGCACAGACATTTGTAACAGATATTTAAGTTACCAATGTGCAGATATGTTTCTGTCAGAAGTTTTTGAGTCCAAATAGTCATTTGTCTTATAATGAGCTCTCTCTTTTCAAAACAAACAATGGAGCTTTTCATGCCCCAACCTTTGTTACACTGACCTTTATTGCTGCTCACAAGTATGAGTTTCAGCCTAAGGAGAAAATGAACCCTTTTCTCCAGAGAAGTGTCCATATCTCATATCACCAAAGCTCACATTCAGATGGTGAGTGGGGTCCAGAACAGGAGAAGGCTCTGCAACAGATCCAGACTGCTATGCAAGCTGCTCTGCCACTTGGGCCATATGACCACTGGGCACTATACATTTTTTTCAGTCTCTATCAATTGTAATTATTTGGAAAGAAAATAGAATGAAATTCTATTTTCATTCAGATCCAATGATGCCTGAGGTGTCAGTGGCAGATAGGGATGCTGTTTGAACCTTTGGCAGGCTCCTATAGATTAATCACAGCAGAGGCCTCTAGGATTTTGGAGCAAGGCCCTGCCATCTTCTGCAGATAACTACCTTCCTTTTGAGAGACAGCTCATGGCCTGTTACTGGGCTTTGGTGGAAACTGAATGTTTGACTATGGGTCATCAACTCACCATGCAACCTGAACTGCCTATCATGAACTGGGTGCTTTATGACCCATCTAGCCATAAAGTGGGTCATGCTCAGCAGCATTCCATAATCAGATGGAAGTGGTATCTACCTGATCGGGCTCGAGCAGGCCCTGAAGGCACAAGTAAGTTACATGAGGAAGTGGCTCAAATGCCCATGGTCTCCACTCCTGCCACCCTGCCTTCTCTTTCCCAGCCTGCACTGATGGCCTCAGGGGGAGTTCCCTATTATCAATTGACAGAGGAAGAGAAAACTAGGGCCTGGTTCACAGATGGTTCTGCACGATATGCAGGCACCACCCAAAAGTGGACAGCTGCAGCACTACAGCCCCTTTCCAGGACATCCCTGAAGGACAGCAGTGAAGGGAAATCTTCCCAGTGGGCAGAGCTTTGAGCAGTGCACCTGGTTGTGCACTTTACATGGAAGAAGAAATATCCAGATGTGTGATTATATTACTGATTCATGGGCTGCAGCCAATGGTTTGGTTGGATGGTCAGGGACTTGGAAGAAGCATGGTTGGAAAATTGGTGACAGAAATTTGGGGAAGAGGTATGTGGATGGACCTCTCTGAGTGGTCAAAAACTGTGAAAATATTTGTATGCCATGTGAGTGCCTATCAGCAGGTGACCTCAGTGGAGGAGGAGTTTAATAATCAAGTGGATAGGATGACCCATTCTGTGGACACCACTCAGCCTCTTTCCACAGCCACTCCTGTCATGACCCAATGGACCCATGAACAAAGTGGCCATGGTGGCAGGGATGGAGGTTACACATGGGCTCAGCAGCATGGACTTCTACTCGCCAAGGATGACCTGGCTACAGCCACTCCTGAGTGCCCAATTTGCCAGCAGCAGAGACCAACACTGAACCCTCGATATGGCACCATTCCTGGGGATGACCAGCCAGCTACCTGGTGGCAGGCTGATTATATTGGAATTCTTCCATCATGGAAAGGGCAGAGGTTTGTCCTCACTGGAATAGACACTTACTCCAGATATGGGATTGCCTATCCTGCACATAATGCTTCTGCCAAGACTACTAACCATAGACTCACAGAATATCTTGTCCACTGTCATAGTATTCCACACAGCATTGTCTCTGACCAAGGCACTCACTCTACAGCTAAAGAAGTGCGCCAGTGGGCTTGTGCTCATGGAATTCACTGGTTTTACCATGTTCCCCATCATCCTGAAGTAGCTAGACAGATAGAACAGTAGAATGGCCTTTTGAAGTCACAATTACAATGCCAACTAGGTGACAATACTTTGCAGGGCTGGGGCAAAGCTCTCCAGAAGACCATGTATGCTCTGAACCAGTATCCAACATATGGTACTGTTTCTCCCATAACCAGGATTCACGGGTCCGGGAATCAATGGGTGGAAGTGGAAGTGGCAACACTCACCATCACCCCAGTGATCTACTGGCAAAATTTTTGCTTCCTGTTCCCACGACATTATGTTCTGCTGGCCTAGAGGTCTTAGTTCCAGAGGGAGGAACACTGCCACCAGGAGACACAACAACAATTCCATTAAACTGGAAGTTAAGATTGCCACCTGGACACTTTGGGCTTCTCCTACCTTTAAGTCAACAGTCTAAGAAGGAAGTTACAGTGTTGGCTGGGGTGATTGACCCAGACTATCAAGATGAAATCAGTCTACTACTCCACAATGGAGTAGAGTATGCATGGAATACAGGAGATCCATTAGGGCGTCTCTGAGTATTACCATGCTCTGTGATTAAGGTCAATGGGAAACTACAACAGTACAATCCAGGCAGGACTACAAATGACCCAGACCTTTCAGGTATGAAGGTTTAGGTTACTCCACCAGGAAGAACGCCCACAACCTACTGAGGTGCTTGCTGAAGGCAAAGGGAATACAGAATGGGTAGTAGAAGAAGGTAGTCATAAATACCAGCTACAGCCACGTGACCAGCTGCAGAAACAAGGACTGTAACTGTCATGAGTATTTCCTCCTTCTTTTGTTAAAAACATGTTTGTGCATGTATATACTTGTACTAAGAAAATATCTTCATTTCCTTTTCTTTTATCATGTGACGTAAGATTTATTGACTTCATATAAGCCTTTAAGTATTGTTAACTTTATGTAATTGTACTTGGGTTTGGGATTGATGCATTTCCAGTTGTACGAAGGCTGGTTGTATTATGTTAGGTGTAATTATTACCTCATTATTATCTTTATTTGAAGATTATGTATGATCTCAAGAGATGTGTACAGGTTCAAGTTGACAAGGGATGGACTTGTGACGGTTAATACTGAGTGTCAACTTGATTGGATTGAGGGATACAAAGTATTAATCCTGTATATGTCTCTGAGTATTGCCAATAGAGATTGACATTTGAGTCAGTGGGCTGGGGAAGGCAGATCTACTGTTAATCTGGTGGGCACAATCTAATCAGCTTCCAGCAAATATAAGCAGGCGGAAAAATGTGAAAAAGAGAGATGGGCCTAGCCTCCCACCCTACATCTTTCTCCTGTGCTGGATGTTTCCTGCCCTCGAACATCAAACTCCAAGTTCTTCAGTTTTGAGACTCGGACTGGCTCTCCTTGCTCCTCAGCTTGCAGACAGCCTATGGTGGAACCTTGTGACCGTGTAAGTTAATACTTAATAAACTTCCCTTTATAGATATATATATATATCCTATTAGTTCTGTCGCTCTAAGAGAACCCTGACTAATATGGATTTGAACCAAAGAACCAAAGAAATCCTACCATCTAGGTACCTGATCTCCAGGGGTCATAGGCAATGATTTGAGCCTTAGGAGCCCTCCTTGCCTCAGACTTAGTCTCACGGTCTGATGTGGATGACAAGAAATATTTACATTAAAAGAATGTGAAGAAAGTAGGAAAATCTTCTAACTCCATTTCCTCACTTTACAGATAAGCCCCCTACCCCCTCCCCGACAAAAAAATAAGTGACTTGATGAAGACCCTTCTTTTCACTGTGCCTTTTTATGTCTCTCCTACTGATGAGTATGTTTTATGTCTAACATGTCATAAGTTGGAGCAGTTTCTGTCTTTTGTTTTAATCTTGCTGTTCTACTCTACAAAACAAAACCTACCCTTAGAAATAGACTAGAGCTTATTTATAGAACAACATACACTTAAGTTTAATATCTCTCCCTTCTTATTTCTCTTACCTTCTACTTAAGTTTGCATGACTATTAACTGTCTTCTAATGGTTTCCCAACAATTTATACTTAGGCTATGGTTCTAAAATGATAAAGTATATAGACATTACTTTAGAACTGATATAATTATGAATATATATATAAAAATCATTAGTCACAATGTGATACTACTATACTTATACAAGCATTAGAAGTCCTAAACACTTTGGGAGGCTGAGGTGGGTGGATCATGAGGTCAGGAGATCGAGACCATCCTGGCTAACACAGTGAAACCCTGTCTCTACTAAAAAAAAAAAAAAAAGAAAGAAAATACAAAAAAATACAAAAAATTAGCCGGGCATAGTGGTGGGTGCCTGTAGTCCCAGCTACTCAGGCAGCTGAGGCAGGAGAATGGCGTGAACCCGGGAGGCGGAGCTTGCAGTGAGCCCAGATTGTGCCACTGCACTCCAGCCTGGGTGACACAGTGAGACTCCATCTCAAAAAAAAAAAAAAAAAAAGAAGTCCTAAAAAAAAGACTGATAGTACCAAGTGTTGACAAGGACATGGAGCAACTATAACTCTCATACATTTCTGGTAAGAGTGTAAATTAATATAAACCCTTTAGAAAAGCTTTTCGCAATAGCTACTAAAACCTAACATGAACATTGTTTCTAACTGAGCAATTTCATTCTTGGCTATATGTACATGCAAAAGAAATGTGGACATTCCAACAAAAGACATCTATTAGAATGTTCATAGCCGCACAGTTCCTAAACAATAAAACTGGAAATAATCCAAATGCCCATTAACAATAGAACAGATAAATAGGCTGTAATATATTTGCATAAAAATCATACTTTCCTTAAAGTGGTGATATCAGCTATAAGCCATTGGGATCCAAGTAATTGAAATACCAAAACTCAAATTGGCTTAAACAATAAAGAAATTTACTATTGCTCGTAACTAGAAATCCATAGGTAGGCTCAGTACCATGGTTGATTGGAATGACAGCTTAGTAATATGATCAAAGATCCAGGTTCTTTCCTGCTTTTGTTTTGCTGTTTTCAGTGTTGGCCTCAGTTTCATATTGGAAACAAAATGGTAGCCACAGTTTTAAGCAATATATCCAGACATACCTATGTCCAGAGGTAGAAGGTGAACTATCTTTTACTTATTTTCCCCTATTAAGAGAAAAGAATTTTTCCTTAGGAAAACAAGAGCATGCTTCCTCTCATATCTCATTGGCTACAAGTCAGTCACATACTGATTCCAAAGCACATCACTAGCAGAAGAAACGGGATGATGAAATTTGACTAAGACTGATCTTCTAGAATGAAATGGAGTATTGATCTTCTGACAACTAACAATAACAGTTAATATGAAGAGCACTTATTTGAACTCCAAATACTGGACTTCCAGTTTCTGCTGAGATGGAAACAGTGCTATTCTCAAGCTTACGACAAAATTACTGACAAACAGTAAGTTTACAAACTTCTACCCATCAGAATGCTGAGGTTGTAGGGCCAGCAACTACTCAGAACCTAGGGAAAAGCAGGTGTCTGCAGTGAAAGATAAAATGCAAGCACTGACCCAAACTATCTCCCTGAATATCTATTAATTACAAAAAGAAAAATAGTACCTTTACCATAAAGAAACCTGACAGATATCACTTTATACAAGTGAACAAAGATAATATCACTAGTGATAAGTCAGGGTAATATCATGTGGCTCCTTATATGACACAGCAAAGCACGCACTTTACCTCTGTGGTATTCTCCCAAACTCATAACCTAAGTCTAACCCTGAGAAAACATCAGGCAAACCAAAATTGTGGGACATTCTACAAAATACCTGATAGTATTCTTCAAAGGAGTTAAGGTGATAGAAAACAAGGCAATAATGAGGACCAGTTGCAGATTAGAGGAGATTAAGGAGACATGCCAACAGAATTTAATGTGGGATCCTGGATTAGATGCCAGAACAGAAAAAAAAAATTAGTGGGAAAAATAATGATCTAAATGAAGTCTGTGGTTTGGTCAGTTATATTATGCCAGTTTGAATTTCTTACTTTGATAACTGTACCTGGCTACATTAGATGTTAACATGAGGAGAAACTGGATGCAGGGTATACAGAAACTCTCTGTACTAGGATTGCAACTCTTGTGAATCTAAAATTATTTTGAAATTTAAAATGTTTGCATACAACTACTTACTTCTATTCTTATTTCAGGACTTAAAATCTTCAACAAATATTATCAAAGTTTCACATATTTTCTCAGTTCTCTGCAGCAGTGGCATTTGTGCCAACAAAATGTAGTGGCTGTCATTATGGTCCCTAGGCACTAAACAGAAAAACAAACAGAAAGTGCCCAAGTTTAGGGAGGCACAGACCAATATATGCCAGTTAACAATAATTTAAATGTCATGAAACCAAAGAACTTTGCTTTTGTACTATTTCTTTCTTTCCTGCGTATCTTGCTTCAGAAGTAATTTCCTCAACTCTTCTAGAGCTCGTAAATCTTCTTCTGTAATCCTTATAAATCACTGATAAAGAAGCTTTTTGTTGTTAACTCCATTATATGCTTTAAATAATAAGGACTATAGAGTATTTTACTAAGTAGCTTCATAGTTGCTAATCTGAGCTACAAGAGACCAAACAGATTTAATAGGTTCTTAATATGATACAAATACTTTGGCAATTTCTCAAGATGAATAATAGCAAAAAAGAAAGGATATGACATTTGTGATTGAAATTAAAGAATAATGCAAGGATCTGCAAAAGCAAAGGTAAGAAAAATGCTTTCTAGCTGACTATTGATTATCTGTTTTTCCCTGTTGAAAAATGCCAGCCATGGTGTTTATCCTTGTTCTGCTATGGTTTGCTGAAGGTACAGAGGAGGGTGAGTTGATAATTTTTGCCTTTTTAATTCATAGGTCAGCAGGTGGTAAGAAGCCACCTCTGAAGCTGTTAAGTTGGACCAGGCACCTCCCAGAGATTCTAGACTCTGAAGTCCACGCAGGGATTCAGATTTCCTCATTCTGCCTAAAGGATGAAGTGTGAAATGAGTGCTTGGTGACCAAAATGGGGAGAGAGAGAGAGATTGATAGGTGCTCACCAAACCCCATTTCCACTTCATCCTGAGTAGACAGTCAGAACATGGTTCCCAGTTCCCCTTGCAGTTAGATGGGATAATGAAATTGAGTTTTGGACCTATGTGGGAGGAGGCGATGCACGTCACTTGCGAAATTGGCACAAAATTCCATGCAATCCTCCACACACTTTCTCTTCTGACATTTTTTTGGCTGACTGTTTTTAACCTAAGGCTTCCTTTCTTGTGCCAAGTTCAAAAGAAGGGAACCTTTGTCTGCCTAGGTTACTGAGCCATGGCCCATAGATCACCACTTTCTCACCAATCTGTGATGAACATTGATGTGAGTGAGAAATGAACATTTATGGTCTTATGCCACTGAGATTGTAGAGTTCCTTTTTATAGCAGCTAGCCTACCCTAGCTAATACGGGATTCCTTATGACTTAGAAAATATTAATATAGGAGATCCCTGGCTCATAACCTGCTAAGTGATATACTGTATGTCGTGTCTAGAAAGACCAAAACCAAGCAAGCATGCTTGAATGTCTTTCCAGACACAATGTACAATACTCTGTCTTATAACTTCCTTGCCCTTTTATGTTGTGTTGTCTAGGCTATGGTTTTATTGTATTTGAGATTTTTGGTATGACTATATCTTCCACCTTTCCTGGGATAGTGCTAGCTTATGTCTTTTGCCCCAGCATGATGATTAAACTTTCACTCTCAAAAGTTTGGAAGATAAATTATATGGTCACTCTAACTATAAGCCACCTTATCTCCTTCTTGGGAGTGAATGAGACATAAATAAGAAAATAAATAAAACAGATTGATCATGAAGAGTATCATAATTTATGAGTATTTGAAGTTGCATTTTCCCTATTATTTTTTAGATAGTCAAAATATGGTACTTTCCAGTGCATTGCACAATATGATTTCTTTGCAAGTATACAAATCACAATAATTAGAAAAAGATTAAATGAGAAGCTCATAGAATACAGAAATTCTTTCAATGATTTAGAACAAATATTTTGGTGTATATTACGTAATATATTATTGCAATATTGAGTGTTGCATTTGATTATTAAATTTAATAATTATAGATTATTAGCCATAATCATTCTGAATAAAGAAATCCTACACCAAAACTTAGGATTCTCAAGAGAAATACAACTGGAAAAATGATCTGGATCACATATCACACCTGGGTAGCTAGAAATTTAAGTTTGTATCAAAGGCTATGCATAAAAATTAACTCCCTTTGATTTTTTTCCATTAAAGAGAATTTCAAACTGATGCAAAATATTCTTCACTGGCAAACTGGGGGTAATTCTTGATTTTCTGCATCATTAATTGCAAATAGATGTTTCTTCACACTCCTTAGAGATAGCTTTAAGAAATCACTTTAAACCATTTTTTCCAAAACAGATTTAAAACAAACAGCAAAAAGGAAGCTCTAATGACTATGATTCACTTCGGGTTAATTATAAATTAACCTTAAAATAGCTTCATTTAAACAATTGCAGAGAAGAAACTTCCCTTTAGGAAAGGAGAGCATGGAAGTGGGGGAATGTGCTCTAGTAAAGATGGCATTATAAAATCATAAAAACTATCATATGATATGGGAAGGACTATGAATAGGTAAGTAGAAGATTCACCTTTGCTATATCTCCACAATCATCCAAACCCTTGTCATTTTGAAGATGGATCATATCTCTATTTCAATTCCGGCATGCAAATCTTATCAATTTTATTCAGGTCACCACCTGAATCTATATTACCAAAATCTCCCTAACCTTAGCTCTAATTTATTGTAAAAAATGTCATTAACCTTTCATGAGAATTAATCACAAAAGATGTAGAAATTTTGTGTGATAGCCTGTACCTGCAAACCTATTTGAAACGTGCTCTACCACATTGAGTTTCTGTCTGAAATAGCTGATTTAAGCCCTTGATATAGTAGAGCTGGTACCCCATTCATTGTGTTATCATTTTATACAGTCTGTCCATAAAAACCCCAAGAGAAGAATGCACTGTCTGTCCATGAAATATAACCCACCGTCTGTGGCTTATGGAAACAACGACAGAATTTTAAATACTTTGGAAAAGCCAGGCATAGCCATTTACATGATTTTTGCCAGCCTTCCTCTGGTTGAATGGCAACATTCAAATATAATGAACAGAGGAACTCAATTAAATATGCACCCTAATGAGGAACAAAAAATAGATTTTTGTCATTTTTTAAAAAACAAAGCTTCTAAAATTTAAAATAATGAAGTAACATGGCTGCGAGAGAGAAGTAAGGGATGCATTACTAGACACAGCAGCAAATGTCAAATATAATATACTACAGCAATATTCTTCAGTTTGACTGTGGCTCTTTTATTTCTTGTTCCCATGTATCTCCTGCTGTTAACTGTTCATCTCCCATCAATTTTATTCTCATCAGTAGTTGCCCTGGTCAGGCAGAAAGACTGTCTTGGTTTAATTAAATGCCCCCACTAATAAGAGGACGCATGCCTCTTGGCAGACTTGGGCATGCCTAAAGCACCAGCTCTCACATTTGAGCAGGTAGTGACAAGCCTTGAGCTTACACTGAACCCTGGATTTTATATTTGCTTGAGTTGAAGACTCAGAAAAGTATTCTCTCTAAAAATATCTTTGAGTCTTGAGGCTTTCCCTAAAGAATGAAAATAATTTACACCAAGGTAATTATTATTGATTCTTGCTACATGGAACTCTATCATAATGACTTCAGATATATTAAACACTCAATGATTTTCCTCTTAGTAAAAATGTGATTTGAATATTGCATGGTGGACCCCGCAAAGTGCTCACCCAAATAAAGTTTATTAGAACTAAAGCTTAGGTTTTGAAACATTCCAAGAAGTTACTGGTTGTTTGCAGGTCAAGGGATAAATAATGCAGGCATCTTTAATTCATCTTTAAAAATTTTAGTCTGATAAGAGGAAGATGAACAAGGAGGAAGAAGAAAAACAGTAGTGTATGATCTGATAACCTGGAAGGTACAAGATACCTTCCACATGTGAGCAGGAATCCAAAGGACCAGGCAACACCATCGTTATCATCAGATGGGCATGATTCTGCATACCCATATAGCATGAAAATGAGTCTAACTCCACATTTGTCTTGTGGAAATTGTGTGAACCAGTGAACGGTGGCAGATTCTCAATAGTTCACGAGCAGTAGGAAACACAGAAGCGTCAGTCCCTCACAGGACTACCCTGAGAGAAATCATCATGGTCCATTTGGCTGACTTCACTTGTTTGGAGTGACAGGAGTCTAAATAAGAGATAAATTTAATTTATTTTAAACGTGACTAACCTTAATATTTTAAATACGATTTCCTTTTTCCATTAGTTGTTTATTTATTGCATATATGTCATGTAATACAATTTTTTCCCATTTAAATATTTGGAAGTATATTTATGTTATTTTGTCCATTATAATTGTTTTTTTTTAATTTTAACTTTTATTTTAGATAGAGAGGGTACATGTGCAGATTTGTCACATGGGAATACTGCAATCCCATCACCCTAGTAGTGAGCATAGCCCTCAATAGGTAGTTTTCGAACCCACCCCCCTGCCACCCTCTCATAGTCCACAGTCTCTATTGTTCCCATATTTATGTCTATGTGTGTTCAATGTTTACCTCCCATTTATAAGTGAGGACATGGTGTATGTAGCTGCTTTTTGTTCCTGCATGAATTTGCTTAGGATTATGGCCTCCAGCTCCATTCATGTTGCTGCAAAGTACATGATTTCATTCTTTTTATGGCTGTATAGTATTCCATGGTGTATATGTACCACATTTTCTTTATCCAATCTACCATTGCTGCATACCTGGGTTGATTCCATGTCTTTGTTAGTGTAAATAGCACTGCAATAAACATACAAGTGCATATGTCTTTTCGGTAGAATGATTTATTTTCTTTTGGGTATATACCCAGTGATGGGATTGCTGGGTCAAATGGTAGCCCTGTTTTAAGTTCTTTGAGAAATCTCCAGACTGCTTCCCACAGTGGCTAAACTAATTTACATTCCAATGAACAGGGTATAAGCACTCCCTTTTCTCCATAGTCTTACCAGCATCTGTTTAATAATGGCCATTCTGATTAGTATAATATGGTATCTCTTTGTGTTTTGATTTGCATTTCTCTGATGATTAGTGATGCTGAGCGTTTTTCCGTATGTGTGTTAGCCACTTGTATGTCTTCTTTTGAGAAGTGTCTGTTCATGTCCTTTATCCATATTTTGATGGGGTTATTTGATTTTTGCTTGTTGATTTAAGTTCCCTATTGATTCTGGATACTAGGCATTTATCTGATGCATAGTTTGTGAGTATCTTCTTCCATTCTGTAGGCTGTAGATGACACAAATAAATGGAAAGACATGCCATGCTCATGGACTGAAAGAATCAAAATCAGAAAAAATGGCCATACTGCTGAAAGCAATTTACAGATTCAATGCTATTCCTATCAAACTCCCAAAGTCATTCTTCACAGAATAAAAACTATTCTAAAATTCATATGAGACCAAAAAAAAGAGCCTAAATAACCAAAGCAATCCTTAAAAAAAGAACAAAACTGGAGGCATCACACTACCTGACATCAAAATATATATACTGTAAAGCCACCGTAACCAAAACAGCTTGGTACTGGTACAAAAACAGACACACAGGTCAGTGGAACAGAAGAGGAAACTCAGAAACAAACCTATACACCTACAACCATCTTATCTTCAACAAGGCCAACAAAAACAAGCAATGGGGAAAGGAATCGCTAATCAATAAATGGTGCTGGGATAACTGGCTGGCTATACACAGAAGATTGAAGCTAGACCCCTACCTTCCACCATATACAAAAATTAACTCAAAATACATTAAAAACTTAAATACAAGACCTCAAACTATAAAAATCCTGGAAGACAGACAACCTAAGAAGTACTCTTCTTAACACTGGCTTTGGCAAAGAATTTTTGGCTAAGTCCTCAGAAGCAATTGCAACAAAAACAAAAATAGACAAGTGGAACCTTATCAAACTAAAGAGCTTTTGCACAGCAAAGGAAAATATCAAAAAAAAATTTAAATTAAGCCACAGTTTTTCTACCCAAAGGCATCAATTATTTTTTCTTTGTCCATATTCCCTACCAGCCCTTGCTCCTATGCATATGTACTAGATATGTGTGCCTGATGCTGTCCCAGGCACTGTCCATAGTTGCTCATTTAGTCCCCACAATGACTCTGAGAGTGTTGTCCTCATTTTAAAGGGGAGAATGAGACTTAGGAAAGTTAAGCAACTTGCCCTAGGTGGCATGACAAGGTAAAAGATCCTGGGATCGAGTCCAGGTCCAAATCTAAACCCTGTACTCTTGGCCATTAACATGTTCCCAATCAAGTTGTGAATAAACTTTTATGTCCTGCTCTAATTTTTTCATCTTGGTAAATTAACTTATCATTTTCATTGGCTACCTGCAAGTCACATGAAGAAATGTATTGTAATTTAACCTTTTCCCTATTTTTGGATATTTATGTATATCTCATTTCTCTGCTTCTGTAGCTAGCACTGCAATGAACATTTTTTCTCTTTGCATAATCTGTTTTTTCTCTTCCTTCTATTGAATTAGTTCCTAAGGATTAAATCCCGAGAGTAGTATTATTTTGTCAAGGGATATAAACATAAAATCTTTAATTATTTGAAATACATTTACATACCTTACAGAGGTTTTAGGGGACTTTCATTGAAGGTATAAGAATTACCATATTACATTGTTTCAGCACTTTTTATAAGTTATTGCTACATGCTGTACACTGAGCTTAATGTTAGATATACAGAATCATCAGAAGATCAGACTCCTGCCTCCCTGGTACTTACTTCTACTAAGGTAGAACATTACATATTTATTTTAAATATACATCTTCTCCATAAATCATATGATGTCAAAATTTGAACCAGATCCTTAAAACATTATTAGAAATAAAGAAGGCTAAAGTAGTGAGGTGTTTGTATATTTTTTTCATAAAGGAAAATAGCATTTTTAGGCGCTCAGTATAATTCTAGATCCCACACATGATGGCATGACCTTGGCCAGTTAATCTCTCAGTTTCTTCATCTGTGAAATGGATAAAAATGTATTGCAGGATTAGTGGGATAATACTTCTTGGCATTTAGAATGCTGAAAACACTTAATAAGTACTCAATAACTGTTAGCTAATACAATGGTGTACTGGAACCAGCTCAGAAAGTCTTGTGATTGTTAAATTTTTAGGATTTTACAAGAAAGTTATTAAACATAGGCATTATTAAATACTCCTCATGGTGGGAGTATTTCACTATAGAAATTGGCAAACACTACTAATCAAAGATCTTTATTCAGAGAGCAGTTGTTAAACATTCATCATCATATCACTGACTGTTATTATTCATGTATATAGTATTACCCTTCCTGTGAAAAAAGTTACTGCAGATGGTGATTAATATCCACAAGTCAAGTGGGTAGCCAAAGAAACCTGGTCAGCAAGGTTTCTTTCTGCATTGCTGACCAATCAAGTGCTATCTAGGTTGGGTAAGAAGCTCCTGGTTCCATATTCAGTGTGTAGATACATCTTAAACAATCCCACAGAGACAACTCATTAGCAAATCAGGTTGAAGTAGAACTTAAGTGATTTGTTACTCTATTAAGAAATATGATTGTGAAGGGAAAGACAAGTGAAATTGGAGTGGGCTAATAGGGCAGCATTCATGGTTTTGCCATTAGACCAAGTCAGTTTCAATTCTGGCTCTGCCACTTACTAACTTAAAACTTTGGTCCATTTAACCTCCCTGAATCTTGGTTTTCTTATCTAAATCAAAGAATAAAGATAATAACACCTAACTAATAAACCTGTTATGAGGATTATATAAGATAATATATTCTCAAGTAACCAACATACAGTAGGCACTTATTATAACTCTGTCTTCCTTTCTCCCTTAAGATGGGAGAGTCTTAAGTGTATCTCCATGTTGAAAGAAGGAACCAGTGGAAATGAAAGAGAACTTATTATTGATGGGACATGGTCTCAGAGGAATCTGAATGGGACAGTATCAGTGGAAAGTAAAAGGATTCGCTTTAGACAGAAAAAGGAGCAATACTTTCTCTGAGAAAAAGAAGAAGAAAGAAAGGCAGGATTTAAAGAAAGACAAATTTACAGGTATGGAGTGGGAAGATCAAGAAGTTCACACCTGTCAGCCTCTGTTTTCTCTGAGATAACAAAGGAGTTACTGTTCAAGAGCCAAGAGCTGAAGAATACAGGTAGTCAGGGACATGGGAGACTGGGGAAGTCCCTGAGAGGGAAAGGCTGCTGAGAAGCCTGAGGACACAGCTTGGATGGGAGGCCACATTTGTGAGGTATCCCCTGCTACTGGACCCAGCAGGGCTCTGGGCCAGGTGTGGGGGTGGAGACTGCATGCAGGTGAACTGGCCCAGGGTGAGCATTGGTAGGACAGGGCAGTAGAAAGGTGAGGCAGGACAGGGGGCTGCTGGAAGAGGGGATGAAGGAAGTCACAGGCATAAGAGGGAAAAGCTGGGAAGTTAAGAGCTGGTTTAAAGATTTGAAAAAAAATGGGAAGAAGAGATCTCTATGAGCTCCATCAGCAGCAGGGAGGGATCGGGGTTTGAGAGAGACACAAGGGTGTGTATGGGCTATTGTCAGAAGCTGGGAACAGAGGCAGGGATTTCTGAGGTGAAAGTCTGGGTGGTAATAAAGATTTTGGTCAAACCCAATGTTATTTAATGCTAAGTCCTCTAAGGCAGGAAGTGATGTGGCTAAATAATGAGAATTGAGGATATAGACAAGACACAGGCCAATATTCCCAGGTGGCAAAGATATATCTGAAGGCATTACAAAGAAGAAAACAGATCCAAACATTCAAAGTCATTAAAAATGCCAGCAAGATAAGTAAATGCTTCTCCGAGGAAACACTTTTTGCTTCTTTAAAGGAGACAACACACACTTGGATATGTTAGCATGTGTATGTTTATGTGAAAAATGAATCTTATTCATAGCCACATGGAAGCTAAGAAAAGACAAAATATAAGACCCATATGAGAGCTAGCTGGATTGTGGGAAAAATATAAGCCTGAAGATGTCATTCTAGCTTCATTTATGGAAGGAAAACGTTAGAAATATTAACGAAGTATAATGATTAAGGAAATTATGGACTATACCCAGGATAGATACCCAACACGGATATAACCTTCTGTAATGGTTTAATCATCCTTGGAGAGCTGTAAAGTTTTAAAACTCTTGTCCAAATTCTGAATCTTAAAACCCCAGATAATGTATTAACTGGTCTTTAAAATGATGGTTATAAAGACTATGCAATAACATGGAAAATACTTATAGTAATAAATTAAGTAAAAAACAAATGCATGATTTGGATCTATAAGTACACTATGATTTTAGGTGTGAAAGAATCATCATTCTCAGTAAACTATCGCAAGAACAAAAAACCAAACACCGTATATTCTCACTCATAGGTGGGAACTGAACAATGAGATCACATGGACACAGGAAGGGGAACATCGCACTCTGGGGCCTGCTGTGGGGTTGGGGGAGGGGGGAGGGATAGCATTGGGAGATATACCTAATGCTAGATGACGAGTTAGTGGGTGCAGCGCAACAGCGTGGCACATGTATACATACGTAACTAACCTGCACAATGTGCACATGTACCCTAAAACTTAAAGTATAATAATAAAAGAAAAAGAAAAAAAGAAACAAACATATGGTAAAAATCCAAAATTATAGCATACTTTATGGAAGATTTCTCCATTTTCCAGAATTTCTTATAATATGGCTATGTTATTTTTGAATTAAAAATTATTACTGTGCAATTTCAACTCCCTCCTACTGCTCAGGAATCCTCTTGTTGGACACCTGTGGATTTCCTAAAACAGCTCAAGAAAGGAGCTTGTAAACCTTCACAGCTTTCCCCTAGCTCTCAATCCACCGCTCAGTAGGTGACCTTGTCTGTGACCCAAGAGGTTAAATCTCTCCTAGGAAAGCTTCTCCCTCCCTTCCTTCCTTCCTCCCTTCCCTCCTTCCCTCCCTTCTTCCCTCTCCCTCTCTATTCTTTTCTTTCTCTTTCTTTTCTTTTCTTTGTTCTTCTCTCTCTCTTTCTCTCTCTCTTTACATTCATTTGTACCAGTACCCCCCTATTAGGGAAAAGGGCTCCAACCTTTTCCCTAAAACTTACTCCTTTCTGCCTCTGGAAAAAGAAGGTTCAGCCCATTCTTCACTCCAGTCCACTGCTTGTGTGATCACTACAGACCACTGCTTGTGTGATTTTCCCATTTATAAATGATACTTTCATCTCCTTTCTAACTCTTACTTTTGCTCACTTTTTAAAGCCAAGATGTAGCCATCTAGCCCCTCCATGATGTCTTCCCCAGTGCTCCCATCTCTGCCTGTCTCTGCTCTTAGATATCTTTCCATACAGTGCTGATTGTAGTGTATGCTCTAAAACCAAACTTTCTGGGTTTAAATTCTGGTGCCTTCACTAACTAACTTATTTACCCTTACTATGTCTCAGTTTGCTTATCTTTAAAATGGAGATAATAGTATAATACTTACCTCATATAAGCACTCAATAATGCAAGCTTTTATTATTTGTGTTCCTTATTAGGGTGTTCAACTTGTGTTCCTAGCCACAATGAAAGTGTTTGGACATAATTTTAGTCTTATTTGGTTTTCTCTTTGTATGATAACCACCGGTCTCAGTTTGCCCAGGACTGAGGGGTTTCCCAGGACATGAGATTTTTCAGTACCAAAACTGGGGCAGCTCCAAGCAAACTGGGATGGTTGGATCACTCTGCATTCCTAAGACAATGTTTTACTTGTAGCAGGTGCTTAAGGAATTTTTAATCAGTTTGAATGTAAATTCCAGGCAACATTATGCACACACAAATATTTTCTGTATAAACTCGAATCTACAAACCTACTTTCATAGTGGGATAATTTCGAAAATAGTGAAGTCTCTTTTCCAGTGTTGATATGGCAACTGACATATTTAAATAAATCCCCTTTTGGACAGATAACATACCCTGGCATTAAAGGCAGGTTTTCCTTTTCTCATTTTACAGCACTGATATTAACTTTCTGTAATGGTTTAATTATCCCTTGGGGGAAATGTAAACTTTTAAAAAATCTTGTCCAAATTCTGAATCCTAAAATCCCAGGTACTATATTTACTTTCCGAGTTTCTTCTACCCTTAGAAAACTACTAGATTACAATAAACTTATTGCAATATGAGTTATTTCTGCAAGTTGAAACCAAGTACTTTGCTAATTGCTCAGGACTGAGATTTCCTCATCTCAGAAAAATCCTAGCCAATAGAACATAGGGTTGAAGCAACTTGTCACCTTGACATCACAGGCTTAATTCTCCTCACTACCCCTAGCAACCAATATACAAGCATAGCAACAGCAGCTGGTGCACCGGAACAGCATTGTTTAAAATAAACACTCTTCCCAGTTGGCATTTGCAAGTGATCTTTTTCTTTCCATAGTTTAAAATATAAGTGTGAACATATCTTAAGAAAATGTAAAACAAATGAAAATGAAAACTACTTGGAAAGGTATGCAAGAGAAGAAGAATCATGAGAAAATGCTAACTTCCAGTACGGATTTATGCTTTGCCCTTTACCATCACCAGAAATTTCAGTTTCAGATATAATGAAGTTTTTTCCCTAAGGGTTCCTGTATTAGTCCGTTCTCCTATTGCTATAAAAACATACCTGGGACTGGGTCATTTATAAAGAAAAGAGGTTTAATTGACTTACAGTTTCACATGACTGGGGAGGCCCCAGAAAACTTACAAACATGACGGAAGGCAAAGGGGAAGCAAGGCACATCTTACATGGCAACAGGAGAGAGAGATTGAAAGGGGAAGTGCCACACTTTTAAACCATCAGATCTCATGAGAACCCACTCACTATCACGAGAACAGCAAAGGGGAAATCCATCCCCATAATCTAATCACCTCCCATTAGGCCCCTCTTCTGACATGTGGGGATTACAATTCAAGATGAGATTTGGGTGGGGACACAGAGTCAAATCATGTCAGTTCCCAAACGTGAGAATTCTATGACCTCCTAAAAAAACTCTTCCCATGTAGTTTCACTCCTCAAGTGTTTGAAGAGTGCTCACCATGTTCCAGGAGCCACAGGATGCCAAGAGGGAAGAAAAAAAAGTCGTGTTAAGTACATAAACAACTCCAAAAACACAAAGGAGCTATGTAGAGTAACAGTTAGGAGCATGGTCTCTGGAACAAGACTAACCAGGTTTGAACTATGGCTTAGCCACTTAGTAGTGGTGTGACTTTGTAAGCCACTTAGCCCTTCTGTTTTTAATTTCCTCACCTGCAAAATGGGGGGTAATAGTGACACTTCCAAAAGTTGATATGAGGCTTAAGTGTGTTAATTATGAAAAGTGCTTAGAATAGGGTCTGACACATATCAAGTGCTATATATATGTACATATATGTACTATGTACTATCAATATGTGCTATTAATTTTATTAGTGGTACTACATAATAGTACATTACATAATTAGCACATTATTAACAGTAAATATTATTAACATATACCATTAATTTTAAGATAGAATGTGACAGGTGACATAAGGCAGGTTAAGAAAACATCATGGATATTTAAGAAACAGCATATCTCACAAAATCTGCAAAAACTTTAAGGAGGAGGTGATTTGGTTTTTCCATTGAGTATGATAAGGACAATGAGAAGTGTAAGCGAATTAACCCCACAGAGGGAGAGAGGAGGAATTATGGCTTGAGAAAGAAGACAGAGGGTGCATAAAAGAGCAGGAAGGGAACCATAGGGCATTATCAGATAAAGTGGCTCCACACTGCCTCTTTCAAAATAAGCAGGACTTTGCAAGGCCTGAAGATGAAAACAGGCCATTGTAGTCGGTGCAAAAGCTCTGAATTTTGATGTAACTCCGTGTGTTCAGAAAATGTTAAGAGTTCAGTTTTGGCCAAATGTTAATTGCAGGGAGTTGTGGGTTAAGTGAAGTGGGTGCAGGAGAGGAGCAGAAGAGGGAGCTGGAAAAATTCACCAATACCACGCTAAGGGACTCGGCTTTACTATGTAGGCTGGTGCTTTTTGAACGTAGCAGGCATTCTCCTTGAAGTCTCTGCCTTAGAACCTATTGAAGTGTTGGTTAAAAATGCAGATTTCTGCTTGAGAACAGGAATTACAGATGAGTCTGGGCAACATAGTGAGATTTCATCTCTACAAAAAAAAAATCTTTTTAAAAACTAGCTGGGTGTGGTGGTACTTGCCTGTAGTCCCATCAACTTGGTAGACTAAGATAGGAGGATTCCTTGAGTCCAGGATTTAGTTTGAGCTGCAGTGAGCTACGATTATGCCATTCGCACTCCAGCCTGGGTGACAGAGTGAGACCCTATCTCAAAAAAAAAAAAAAAAAAAAAAAAAAGCAGCTTTCCCTGGGAGCCAGAATATTGAGATTAAATTGAGAGGGCTACAGACAAAGGAGGCAAATAGAGGTACCTCAGGGAAAGAGGACACTCCACAGTCACCTTCTGAGGCCCCTGCTTCTAACCTCTACCTCCCCAAGGTCTTGCTTTACTCTGCAGTATGAGGGAATGACATAGCCAGACAGGACAATTTATAGTCTCCTACTGTCCCCCATGGGTTGGCAATTATCACAGGAATGCTTAAGTGTATGTTTGAACCTTCTTTGAGATCCAGTGTGTGGGACCTCACTCCCTCACACGGTAGACAAGGCTACGTCAGGGAAGAAACAAGCCCATGGCCATTTGTGGGCATCAGAAATACATTGTGGAAGATCAGGAGTGGCCTGCAGACAGTGTGGGATCATTGTGAGGATGCTCGCTCCACACCAGAGCAACCCATCCAGACAGCCAGAAAGTAATGCAATGGCAACAGAAGCCCTCACAAAGATGTTGAAAATATAAGCTGCAGAGCCAGGAAAATGAGGAACACACATTTTTCTTTTTTTACGTTCTGGCAACAAATCTAAACAACCTTTCTTTTTGGTGTAGTAAATGCCTATGTCACCTTGGTTTTATGGGTGTCCCTTCAGATTCTACTCTTGCCTCACTTTTTTGTTGTTGTTGTATTCAAAGGGCCATCTGTATCCTTAATTTGATAGAACAGAGGCTGGGTCTGTCGTAAATTCCATTACTCAAACCAGCACCTGTATAGACTTCCTATTCACATTCACATGAGTAAGAGGATAAAACAGTCCCTGTTGAAGCTCAGACTGTTAGAGATAAAGAGCACTTGAGTGACTGAAACATAAGGGGTGCATCTTCCTGTGCAGACTAATTTGACAGTTTTGAGAGAGCAAAGTATACACACCCATATACTCAGTCAGCCAAATAATCTTGTTTGTAAAATCAATAAAGAATTCAGTAAACCATATGTTTTAAAATTAAATAATGATTTAATGCTCTTTCTGTTAGAAGGCTTGGAAAGTTTCTGACTCATTATAAAGCTTTGAGAATTTGTATTATGAGAAGGTAAATCCTAGAATTTTCAACAAAAAGTTTTTTGTTGAAGACACTCATGCACTGAATGGTGAAGCAAAAGGTACAGAGAGGAGAGGCTTTACAGAGATGCAAGAGGGCTGGAGTAGGTGAACTGGGGCCAAAAACAAAAAACTCTCCAAAATGAACTTTCACAAAATGTCCATCTAGCTTAATCCAGAAAAGATGTGGCATGGGCCAACGATGTTTATTTTAAAAAATTTGATTTTTTTTGTTTTATTTTCTATTCTTTCAGTCCCCTTTACTATTTCTGATGCTTGCCTTGCAGTGTTATTGCTCCTTTACAAACACTTCTACATTGTTCTTCACGGAGGCTTCTGTAGCACTTGGCTTTGGGTGTGAAGTGTTTGAGTGGCTTCAGGTGCAGATCTGATCTGCAAAACTAGGACTGAGAGCTCTGCAGGCAATACAAGAGTGTCCGTGTATTATATTATTCTATCAGCATCTAACTTACAGGGCCCTTAATAAATGCTCCAAACATAAGCTATCAGAGTAGGCAAGTTTGGTAATGTGAAGAAATCAGCAATACAAGTTTTTCTTTTTAATCTATAAGTTGTGTGCTGAATTGTGTGTAGTACTACAAAGATCCTGGGGAGCCTGTAGGTGACACGTATGATTTGCTGCAAGAAATTTCACAATTAATAACAATTCTAGGTCTATATGGTTGATTTGTGATAAAAGTCACCTATGGCAAAAACAAGAGAGAAGTTGTAGGGAGTAGTTTGGGAAGTGGTAAGGTGAGCAAAGGCAGGAATCTTCTGGACACCAGGAATGTAAATTGGGGGAAGAAAAATATTCCAAATTTTCTAGTCATTGAGGAACTGCCAATAGCATTAATTATGAATCATCTATGTGAGCTGTAGAATGGTCTTTTCTGTGTTTGTTCATCCATTCAATAAATACATACTGGGGGTGGCCATGTGCCAGGCACTCTCTGGACAATGAGGATACATCAGTGAACAAACAGAGCAAACTCCCTACCCTCATAGAGCTTGCTTACATTCTAGTGAGCAGAAGACTGGCACCACACAAATAGACAAATATCTCATGGTGTGTCAGATGGGGATGCATACTCTGAGGAAAAATACAGTATGTTGAGCCAGAAAGCTTGGTGGGTGGGGATGGGGCTGCTGATTTACACAGGATGGTCAGAGCAAGTCTTTCTGACAGATGTCATTTGAGCAAAGACCTGATGGAGTGACAGGATAAGGGCGCAGCTACTAGGGGGAAGATCATTCTAGGTACAGGGAAGTTGAAAGACCTCAGGGTGACCCTAAGTTGATTGGAACTTACAAATCCTGCCCTTTTCTGATTGACAGTGCATTAGTGGCATCTGAAATATAGAAGCAAACTTGTAAAAGAAAACTGGGCTTTCTTTGACAGTGGTGTGTCTGCATATCTTTTTTTTAAAAAAACATTTTACCATCATCATTGCTTAGGAAGGCAGTACAGCACATTAGAAGAGCTAGGCCTTTGGCAACCCACACTCCTGAGTCCAGATTCTGGTCCCAGCTCTATTGTCTGTGGCAGGCTGTGCAGTGACTCAACCTCCCTGAAAAATGAGAATAGCAATGCCTGTCTTAAAGTACCAAGTGCAACTGTTAGTGGAAATGTAAATTGGTATAGCCATTATAGAAAACAGTATGGAGGTTCCTCGAAAAATTAAAAATAGAACTATCATATGACCCATCAATCCCACTTCTGGGTTTATATCTACAGCAAATGAAATCAGTGTGTCAAAGAGGTATCTGCACTCTCATGTTCACTGCAGCATTATTCGCAACAGCCACACTATGGAAGTACCTAAGAGTCCATCAATGGATAAATGGATAAAGAAAAGGTGATTATGTACACACACACACACACACACACACACACACACACACACACAATGGAATATTACTCAGCCTTAAAAAAGGAAGTCATACCACTTACAACAACAATGGATCAACCTGCAGAAAAATTATGCTAAGTGAAATAAGCCAGACACAGAAAGACAAGGCATGATCTCATTTATACATAACATCTAAAAAAATCAAACCCATAGAAGTAGACAGTAGAACGATAGTTGCCAGGGCCTAGGGAGTGAAGGAAATAGGAAGATGTTAGTCAAAGAGTATAAATATTTAGTTTATAAGATAATAAATTATAGGTATCTAATGTACAGCATAGTAACTATGGTTAATAATGCTGTATTGTTTGCTTGAAATTTGATGAGAGAACAGATTTTTTTTTTTTCTTTTTGAGACAGAGTTTCACTCTTGTTGCCCAGGCTGGAGTGCAATGGTGCGATCTCGGCTCACTGAAACCTCCACCTCCCAGGTTCAAGCAATTTGGCCTCAGCCTCCTGAGTAGCTGGGATTACAGGTATCCCCCCACCATGCCCAGCTAAGTTTTTGTATCTTTAGTAGAGACGGGGTTTCGCCATGTTGGCCAGGCTGGTCTTGAACTCCTGACCTCAGGTGATCCACCCACCTCAGCCTCCCAAAATGCTGGAATTACAGGTGTGAGCCACCACACCCAGCCTGAGAGAGCAGATTTTAAGTGTCCTTACCACACATACATATAAATACACAAAATGGTAACTATGGGTGGTAATGTGTTAATTAACTTGACTCTGGTAATTGGTACACAATATATATGTATATCAAATCACCATGTTGTACACCTTAAATATATGCAATTTTTATTTGTCAATTAAACATATTAAAATAAGAAAGTACTCCCTCTATAGGTTCTGGGGTACTTGGGAAATTCAGAGCAAATTCTGCTAAATGGAGAATAGTCTTAAATCTATTTTTTATGTTCACATGTGAAATAATTTCGGCTCAAATATTTTAACAAGTAAACATATTTTACTTCCAAAAAAAAAAAAAGAGCAGCAAGCATAATCCCTGACTCCTCAAATTTCGGTTGTTTTCCTCTTTCCTCCTCTCTCGGGAATGACATTATTTATTATTGGAAATTAAGGTTTGAGGCAATGAAACCTAACTGTGCATCCTAGTGCAAAAAATGAACACTGATAATTTCTGAAGTTTCTACTCTTGTTTCTTCTTTACATTTAACCTTCATTTTACTTCATTTTCCCGTATCATTGACATATATGTGTACATTATTAATTATACATTAAGAAAGACTAAATGCAAGTGAATTCAATTCAAAAAATTTATGGAATATCCATTATGTAGAATATAATGCAATAAATACAAAGGTCAACATCAACCACGTCTGTCTTCAAGTTTACAGTCTAGAAGAAAACACATAAGCATATATAGTTTTAACACAGGGCAGGGGCAACATGAACAGAAATCTATACAGTAAATGCCAGAAGGGCTGGCAGAAGTTAAAGCACTATTTCTCAGAGCCTGAGAGATGGGACCTGGAAGCAGGCCATGCTTGATGGGAGGAAGGACTCTATAGGTGGATATGTAAGCAGGGATGAGAGAGGATGCTGCTGGAGGCAGAAAGAAAAAATGAAGGAGCCTGAGGAAGAATGTGAGGGAAGCAAGAGAGTAGAGAGTGCTGAGAATAATATTTTAAGATGGGCAAATCTTATTATTGATTGATTGATTGATTGATTGACTTTTGTGAGATGGAGTCTCGCTCTGTCACCCAGGCTGGAGTGCAATGGCGTGATCTCGGCTCACTGCAACCTCCACCTCCCGGGTTCAGGTGATTCTCCTGCCTCAGCCTCCTGAGTAGCTGGGACTACAGGCGCACACCACCATGCCTGGCTAGTTGTTTTTTTTTTTTTTTTTTTTTTTAGTAGAGATAGAATTTCACCATATTGGCCAGGCTGGTCTCGAACTCCTGACCTCATGATCTGTCCACCTCAGCCTCCCAAAGTGCTGGGATTATTAAATTAAATGAGAAGAGCAATTCTGGGGAATGTTGTAAACTTCTTTATTGGACTCTTCTTTTATGTGAGGTTTGACCTTTATATTGAATCATTTAGGCTAATATGCTGTCGGATACATGTCATTTCTATCTGCAAAGTCTAAATTTGGGTCAGTTGATAAGAAAAAATTGTAATGAGGTAAGGACTCAGGAGTAAACTACCTTTCCCTTTCGGGTAATGATCTGATTCTGATCCACTCTAAGATGCTTATGAAGAGTATTCCTAATTCTTATGAGCCAGTCAGACACAGGTCTGAAACATCTATGGAGACTCAGTAGTTCAAGTTGCAAGTAGAGATTTATTGCCAACCCAGCCCTTCAATGTAGTTTAAGACTCTAAAATCTACTTCATCATCCTCTGAGAAAAGACAAAAACTTGGTCTCTTTCATTTACTTTTTCCCTTCTCTGAAAAGTCCAATCTTGATTCTATATGGAGACTTTAAAATGTTTTGAAGGAGGGAATCTGAGTCACAGAAAAGTAACTGTAAATACACTTGGTAGAATTTGAATAATTTTTCAACTTTCTGCATTTCAATTGTCTGCATATGCAGACAATAGCCAAATAAAATTACAAATCATGGTGTGCCACTTCAGAGTTTTGTTGAAAGAAAAACGTCATGTCAAATCTCAGCCAAAAGGTGGGCTATAAATAAATACTCATATTCTTAAGTTACAATTTCCAAAGTTGTTTCACTATACAAAAGGGAATATTTTTAAAGCATCTCGTTGGCAGTTCCAGCTTGTGAGAGCTTATTGAGAACCCCAAATCAACTTGATTATATTAGTATTTGTCATTTACTATTGAGGCAGAGATGGAACCACACAGACATTCTGCTACTATTAAATAGTAAGATGAAAATAATCCACATTTTTCTTATCCTGCTAAAACAAATATTTTTGAGTTTCAGAAGCAGGCCACTTGCCCTAGCACATGAAGCCATCATACTAGAATAGCAGTTTCCAAAGATCCAAATGAGCAACTAATCCAACCTCCTTATCATGTTTGTGTAGAAGCAGAGTCCTAGAGTGGTTAACTTGTCCATGCTGTCCAGCACAGGCACTCCATTCAAGATGGATAGTTACATAGCACCTAAGACATGGTACTCACAGATTACTGTCTTTGGACAGTACTGGGAACCATAATCATCTTGCCCTGTAGTATCTGGCCTGGATTTCTAGCACGAATCTAACAGTAATTTGTGGACCCCTTGGTTCTTGGAAGTCCCCTATGTTACTTTAATTTTCTTCTAAAGAAAAAAATTATCTGAAAGAAGTTGTGTGTGCTCTGTTTCCCCTTCCCTTCCACCTCCGAGAGAGAATTATTTTTTGCCCTATAACTATTGAGTTAAATTGTCTGAAAGACATCTTGAGAATAATAGGCTTTTAAACTCCAGCAGCTAATCTGATATCAGGACAATAAACAGAGGAAAGGAAGTATGGAGGAAAGACTTATGTCTCCTATTTGTCTGAGATTCCTTTTGCATTAACCACCTGCTCTTTGGCTCATTTATAATTCTTCCTGACAGATTGCTACTTGGCATTGTTAATAGTGACCTATCAGAATTGCAGTGTAGCTTCAGGCCACAGATTGGAGCAGGTGAAGACAAGAGCAAGAAACAAAATTGTGACCTCCGTACCACCTTCTCACCCATATACCACCTTCGTGCCTCTATACGCTGATGCTCCTTGAGATGAATGAATGGAGCAAACTTGGTGGCCTGTATAAGTTCACAAATGCCTCAAGGACACTTTTCCTTGCGCTGACCAGCCCTTTTTGAAAATAGATGTTTTCCCTTCAGATTTGGTACCCATATCCACATGGGAACATGGCTGGGCAGATCTTGGGCCATTCTTACTATTAGAGGACATAGTGAATATTCAAACAAAGAACTTCAAAGATAATGCTAGAATTTTGTTCTAGCATCTCTATTGCATCCATTTACCATAGGTAATGTACGCAAATATTAAAACAGCCAACCAAATTGAAAAAATTGTTTTAATTATTGGTTATCATGTGACCCTGATGAAATGTTGCTTAACAGCTATTATTTTTAATCTACACAAAGTGATGTTGATTATGGACATCATTATATGGTGTTGAGATGACCATCAGATAACATGGTCATTGCAAAGATGCCCCGTATTGACAATCAACTCCAGAAAAAATACAAGGGGGTAGCTATAAACAGGATGAGAAAAATCTGCCCAGCCCAAGAAAGACTAGTGCTTTTAGAATAGAAACTCTATATACATCCCATGATTCCCTAAAACAAAACCAAAAAAGTACGATGCCAATATCCAGAAATCTTTGTACATTGTATGATGATATATTAATTAAAAAGAAATTGAAAATAAAGCAAAACTGAAATATGGATAATGTAGTAGGGAAACCGATTACATATTAAAAATCATTTTAGTTATTTAACTAGCACGCACATTCCAGTCATTGCTGCAAGCACTTGACAATCACTAACCTCTCAGTCCTCATGACATTCTTATGAGGGATGTACTACCTTGAATGCTGAGTTCTACTTTCTGGGTTCCCCTCCTCTCCTAGATCTCAGCAAAGTAATTGCTCCCTTTCTTGATAGTTATTTCATGCCCCCCTTTAAAGCATTATAGTCCTAATGTCTTTATATTAAATAACTGGCAAATACAAAGAACACATATCATTATAATGAGGAATAAAGTATTTGTCTCACCTAACTAGCCAACTAACCAAGACTCTGTTTACTTCACCAAGCTATAAATTCAACATTCTTATTTCTCTGAAAAATTTTAAATATACAAAATAGAATGTTGCAATGAGCTCTCATGTATCCATTACCCAGATTTTAACTATTATTAAGATTTTCTTATACTTTACATCTCTTTCTCTGCCTTCCCTCCTCTCTCTACCTGTCTTCCTCCTGTCTCTTTTTCTTTCTCTTCTTCCTTCTCAACTATTTTTAAAATAAGTGCCAGATATCAGGTTATTTTACCCCTAGAATTTCAATATCTATCTCTAAAATAACATGGAAGTTTTCTTCAATAATTATGGCCTATGTTGTCATCAATACAACTAAGAAAAGGATTAATGGTATTTTGATACTATCTAATACTAAACTTTTTCTAATTGTCTTGGTTTGTTTGAGTCAGAAGCCAAACAAAGCCCACATACTGTATTTGGTTGTTACATCCTTTAAATGTCATTTAATGTAGAGTAGCTTCCTCTTTCTTCTTTTTTTAAAATAATTTTATTTTTCATCCCATTGATTTATTGAAGAACCCGAGTCAATTGTCTCACAGAATATCACACATTCAGTTTTTCAGTTGGCTTCTTTGTCATTTAACTAGATCCTTCACCTGCCATATTTCCTATAGTGGAAGTTAGCCACAAAGACTCGATTAGATTTGGATTTTATTATTTTTACAGGGATATGTACTGTGGTGATGCTGTGTACTTTGGGTTGAATTACAGCAAGAAGATACACTCTTACTGATGCTGAGATTGATGAATAATTGGGTTCAAGTGATGACAATCTGATGCATCCTTGGTATAATTTCCCATCAACCTTTCATCTTGTGGCTTCATCCATTCATGATTGTCTTAGATCATAATCTATTATTTCATTGGGGTTGCAAAATTGTGATTTTCTAATCATTTCACTTTTCCTATATTTATTGCCTGGAACTTTGTAAAGCAGAAATTGATCTTATTACCTAGGTTTATTTGGTTTCCCAAAATATAGTTCATGCTGGAGAAACTTAATATATGCTTAATTTTTTCATATTAATCACATATTTTTAAAGAGTGTTGCTCTTCTTGTTACAGTGGTGTCCAATAATTTCTCTCCTTTTATAATTTTATTATAAACACATAGGCTTTTACATATTTATTCTGTTGCCAATAATTGCTTTCATTATCTTTTTTATGCCCAAATATTCTCATCTTTGGCCAGAAAAACCTCTGTGTACTTTCACATAACTCTATTGGTCTTTGGAACCTTCCTTGTGTATTTTGTATATTTTTTGCCTGAGAGCTGGAATCAGCCGCTCCTCTAAGTAATTCTGGTTTTTACAGACTGGAATAGTATTTGGAGACCACAAACTAGGTGCACTAATTTCTGTTGAGTTATTTTCTTTTATGCTTTTTCATGGAAAAGAACTAAGAATATACATTTTATAAATAAAATTTTATGCTTATATTGCTATTTTATATTTAATAATGCAGAATTTTACATATTTTACATAATGTTTTAGCTTTATACTGAATTTCTTTTCTCATATCTAAAAATCTTGATTCCTTACAACAGTAAGATAATTACTTGCATTATGTAAATTATAAATTAAAACACTGTAAAATAAGTACAGTATAGTAATGCCAATATCACTATTGAGTAAAGTTTAAGATTTCCTTGTAGTTCTGTATTCCCTTACATAATATTCTTTTAAAGAATGTTTTTCTTTAAAATCTTTTACTGGTAGTCAGAATATTATGTCCCAAAGTCACCTGAAATAATTTTTTTCTTTGTGTGGTTATGGCACAAACAATTAGATTCATTTGTTTTCATTAATTTTCTGTTTTTAGAGATTCCCTTATTTTGTTTTTTATTTGGTTTTCTTCTATGAATATATTTACCTTGTTCCAAGTTCAAAACTTTAAAACCAGGTATATTCAAAGAGGTTTTATTTTCATCCCTGCCCACTTTGCTATGCTTCCTCTGTCCACATATAGGTAAACATTTTCATTAGTTCCATTAGGTTTTCCTTTTGTTGTTTCTTTTTTGGCAAACAAAAACATACAAGTACAGACACTTATTTACCACCCCCTTCCTGCTGTTCTTACATGAAAAGTAGAATACTATATATTCCTTTCTGACTCTTTATTTTGTTCTTTCAATAATACATCCCAAAGATCACTTTGTATGAGTAAATTAAGATATTCTTCACTCCCTCTTATAGCCGCATAATGTTGTATTATGTGTTATCCACCTTTTTTTTAGTTGTCTTCGATGGAAAGCCTATTCTAAATTACTTAGTTCCCCATTACCAATGTCATCGTCTTAGGTCTGTAGATAAAAAGTTTGTTTGACAAGCATAGCCTCATGCCCCATATTTGGTGTTAGGAGGCAACTGCTTAGTGTAGCTTCGTTGGGTGCAGCAGAATCTTTTCTTACCCCTGCCCTCTGGCATTCTGCTCTAGTGGAGTATAAAAAAGACCACAGTGCTATTTGTGAATGTTCCCAAGATTTTCCGTCTATCTTACCCTTCACTTGTAAGAACGTTGAAATGTGCCACCACATTGAAATATGCCGCCATTTATTTCCTCTCCTGTTGTTTCTTGAGGGCTGCAGCATCTGGTGGATTCTCTGATTCATTTGTTCAAGAAATGTTTATGTAGTATCAACCCTTTGGCAGGCCCTGCGCATTGACAGAAACTAGGTATGGTCCTTGCCCTCCTGTGGTTTTAATGGAAAGACAAACAATATAAACAAGTAAAATTATTAATTAAGGAGTGATAAATTATGATAAACAAGATAAAGGAAAAACACTAGCATGCAGTTTGAGAGAATAATGGTAGTTGTGAAGAACTTCTATAAGGAGCTGCCACTTAATACTCAAATCATGAGGGAGAGGCTGCCAGATGAAGAAGAAGGAAAACACTCCAAACACAAGGACTGTGATACGCAAACCTCTAAGGCAATAAATAAATAAATAAATAAATAAATAAGAGCTTTATGTGTTTGATGAACTTATAGGCTGGTGTGGCTGAGGCAATATGAAGAGAAAATGACCAGATCACATAGGACTTTGGAGTTAGGATATGGCAAGGAATTTGGATTTTACATAAAGGGAAATTTGATGCTACTGAAATAAGTAGGTAATATTAATGCAGTTTAAGTTTTAATAAGTTCACACTGGGTGCTTTGTGGAGATTAGATTAGAGCAGGCAGGGAACTCAGTGTAGGAGGCTATGGTAGTGATGAAGGTGAGAGATGACGGTGGCTTAGGCCAGGGTGTTGGCAATGCTGATGAGAAAAAGTTACATATTTAAGATACATTCTTGAAGATAAAGTCAACAAGACTTGGTGGTTGATTAGATGTAAATGGGAAAGATGGAATAGTGGTAAAGAAAGGGAGGAAAGAAGAATGAATTCCAGCATTTCTCTTGATCAGCTCAGTATTGACTTACATAGGGAAGACTGAGGGGAAGAAAGTTATTAATGTGACTAAAGAAAGGTGGTGCGGTGTATGGAGCATGGGGAGGGAGCAACAAAAATCTGACTACCCTCACCACAATCAGACCATTCCCATTCACCTTGCCAGTTCAGATTTTGAGGTTGCTTCATTCATGAGCTGAAGCATGTGTTCTCAATGTTGTCCACCTTCATTGATTCTTTCTTTCTTCAAGACCGAGTTTCGCTCTTGTTGCCCAGGCTGGCGCAATCTCGGCTCACTGCAACCTCTGCCTCCAAAGTTCAAGCAATTCTCCTGCCTCAGCCTTCCTGAGTAGCTGGGATTATAGGCATGTGCCACCATGCCCAGCTAATATTGTATTTTTAGTAGAGACTGGGTTTCCCCATGTTGATCAGGCTGATCTCGAGCTCCCAACCTCAGATGATCCGCCCGCCCCGGCCTCCCAAAGTGCTGGGGTTACAGGCACCTTCATTGATTCTATTGTCAGTGCACATGCCTCTAAGATCCTAGCAAAAGGTTATCAGTCATCTGTGATTTCAATGGTAATATTCATTTTCATTTTTTACTGTGACTTCGTAGGTATGCTAATGGAGAATTAGAAGCAGTTGCATGAGGGGATACTAGCTAGGCATCGTTTTAAATTAGAAATATGTTATTTATTTTTTAAAAATTATATTGCTAAAAGTAACTTTATTCATGTGTAGGAGTATAGCTGAGAGTGTGGTTGTCTTTGATTTCTTCTTTACAGCCTGCACATAGACTGTCCTTCAGACTCACAGTGCAGAGGGAATAACACTGGACTTGAACTCGTATGACATGATTCTACAATTTTACTTCATGTAGTATACCTCAAAGTGGTATTGAGAAGATCAAATCGGACACCATATGCCACCTCTAGCACATCAATACTTTTCTTCTTCTCTTTCTCATCTTTTCCCTACTTTTATCAAGCAAGTATATTATGTTCTGAAAGAAGTCAAGAAAAATACCAAGAAATTGATATCATACATGAAGCTGTTTTGAACCCTACAGAAAACAATTTAATATTTTCATTTACTTTCCTATTTAAGTTGAAAAATATTTGTTTATTAATAGTACAGGCATCAGAGCATGGAAGTTAAGATCCAGCATGCTGAGCTGGCTGCCTTTTAGCTTCACTTGCCACTCTCCATGTAGTCAGAAAAAGTTACTTAGCATCTCTGTGACCCAGATTCTTCACCTGTAAAATGAGAATAATTACAGTTCCCATTTTATAGGATTGCTATAATTATAAAAGGACTTAAAGGAGTTAGCATATGTAAAATACTTAGACGAACGCTTAGCATATAGCAATGCGGTATAAATTTTAGCTATTATAATTATCTTGTGCTAGACAGTAATTTAAAATAGAATGCGGTTTATTCTCCAATAATAATATAAAAATAAAAACTATATATTCATTAAAATTTTCTTCAACACAAATTACTAAAAGATAATAAAGCAATAATTATGGAATATTTCAATGAATCATGAAGAGTCAACAGTTTTATACCCAGCCCAGCTAAAATTCATGCACAAGTGCCCCAAAAACACATTATCTGATATTCAAGTATATAAAGATTTTTTGTCTGTCTCAAAAAGTGAAATAAAATAAAAATAAATATAAGAATAGAAAAAGTATAGTATAAACAATAGTTAAAAATCCTTATACTATATATAAGAATCAATTCAAAATGGATTAAAGACTTAAGTATAAAACTTAAAACTATTAAAACAAGGGAAGATAACCTAGGAGATATCATTCTGAACATAGGACCTGGCAAAAATTTCATGACAAAGATGCCAAGAGCAATTCCAACAAAAACAAAAATTGACAAATGAGACCTAACTAAACTAAAGAGCTTCGGCACAGTAAAAGAAACTATCACCAGAGTAAACAGACAACCTACAGAATGGGAGAAAATATCTGCAAAGTGTGCATCCAACAAAGGTCTAATATCCAGAATCTATAAAGAACTTAAACAAACCATCATGCAGAAAACAACCCCATTAAAAAGTGGGCAAAGGACATGAACAGACACTTTTCAAAAGAAGACATACATGTGGCCAACAAGCATATGAAAAAATGCTGCATCACTAATCATTAGAGCAATGTAAATCAAAACCACAATAAGATACCATCTCATACCAGTCTGAATGATCATTATTAAAAAGTCAAAAAATAACAGGTGCTGGTAAGATTGCAGAGAAAAGGGAACACTTACACACTGCTGGTAGAAATGTACATTAGTTCAGCCACTATGGAAAGCAGTTTGGCCATTTCTCAAAGAACTCGAAGCAGAATTATCATTCTACCCAACAATCCTATTATTAGGTATATACTCAAAGGAATATAAATCATTCTGCCATAAAGACACATGCTCATGTATGCTAATCGCAGTGCTATTCACAACAGCAAAAACACAGAGTCAACCTAAATGCCTGTCAATAGTAGACTGGATAAAGAAAATGTGGTATATATACACCATGGAATACTAAACAGCCACAAAAAGAATGAAATCATGTCTTTTGCAGCAACCTGGATGCAGCTAGAGGCCATTATCCTAAGTGAAGTAACACAGGAACAGACAACCATATACCACATGTTCTCACTTATAAGTGGGAGCTAAATGATGAGAACACATGGACACAAAGAAAGGAACAACAGACACCAGGGCCTACTTGAAGCTGGAGGGAGGAAGGAGGATGAGCATCAAAAAACTAAATTATCAGGTACTACGCTTATTACCTGGGTGGCAAAATAGTTTATACACCAAACCCCCATGACATGGAATTTACCTATATTACAACAAACCTGCACATTTACCCCTGAATTTAAAATAAAAGTAAAAAATACATGAATAAACACAATGAATAAAATATACACTAAATCTAATTAACTGTTGTTAAAAGATCACAAAACAATGCATATGTCAAAAAATAGTTCTTGAAAGATAAGTTTTAAATATAAATAAAAGAGATATAGAAACAACAAACTGAGAAGTGAAAAGGAGAATAATGAGATAGGGGAGAAACTAAAGAGAATAGGAAATGCCTCTATCCTGGTTTCTATTGTACTCCCAATGCTAGGTCAATGCCCAGCAAGGAGTAGGTCCTCAACAAATGTTTATTGAATGAGTGAATATTCACTTAAAATATTGCAGAAGGATAAATTAACATGAAATTTTAGTTTTTATTATTAAAACTAGATACATGTATTATTATTACACATCTGTAATTAACTACCAACAGAATAAAAATTGAATGTTTCTATTCCAATTTATTTGAGACAATAAATAAAATAAAATATAATTGATATGAGAAACAAAAAAAGCAATGAAATATGAGAAACACAAAACAAAAACAAGGCAAAAGAAGATCAAACTTAATAATAGCTTGTTCTTATGTTATTAAAATGAGCTCTTGATTAGTGAAAACAACTTGTGTTTATGTTTAAAACAAAATTCAGCTACATACTGCTTATGAAATGATCAGTTAAAATAAAATAACTCAGAAATGTTGAGAATAAGTTTTGTAACTTATCTATCAGTTATCTGTTATCTATTAGCAAATAGATATCTATCTATTTGTTATCTATCAGGGAATCCCTGTTATCTATCACGGAAACAAAAAATAAAGTAGGAATCAAGAATGTGAATATTTGATTAATTAGTTAACATAAGAACTCTTTGTACCTTAAAAAGAAAGATCAGAAACTCTTTTCAAGTATCAGTAGAATGTAGGATTATATTTCTATATGAAACTAAAAAACGATCCCTACACAAATACCCCAAAGTAAAAATTGTAAAGGCCATCTTTGATGGCTTCAATTTAACAAAATAAGAAATTATTGTCTTAATATTTAACATTTTTAGAATTGTCATTAAACAAAAATTTTAAATGTTTCTATAATAGTTGAGTTATAGGAAAAAATATGTAATTACAAAATCTTTACAATATAAAGAAAATGAGGATACTGCTTATTAGATCGAGAACACAACTGAATTAGAACAAATTCAAAACCTTAACTTTGTTGTTAAAATATTAATTCATCAAAACAAATAAATTAACTATGCATTAAACTGAAGAAAAAATAAATGGAACAACAAAAATACACCTAAAGTTGGCCAGGCGTGGTGGCTCAAGCCTGTAATCCCAACACTTTGGGAGGCCGAGGCAAGCAGATCATCTGAGGTCACAAGTTCGAGACTAGCCTGGCCAACATGATGAAACCCAATCTCTACTAAAGAAAAAAAAATACAAAAATTAGCCGAGTGTGGTGGCGTACACCTGTAATCCCAGCTACTCAGAAGGCTGAGGCAGGAGAATCGTTTTAACCCGGGAAGCAGAGGTTGCCCTGAGCTGAGATTACACCACTGCACTCCATTCTGAGTAACAGAGTGAGACTCCATCTCAAAAAAACAAAACAAAACACCTAAAGTTAACAGGCAAACTAAATATTACATTAAAATATCAAAGTGTATTAATTAGAAAATACAGAATTGATTAACACAATAGCTGATTCTTATAAAATTTCAATTAACAAAATTATAAATATTAAAAGTAATAAAGGAGTATGCAGAGAGAAATTTTAAACAAAATAATATGATAGTTAATCTCAAGATATTCACTTATATATCTTGGAAAGTAAGTAGCAGAATTTACTTATGATATTGTAGAAAACCTGAATATCTAATAACCATGGAAGAAATGAAAATGTTATTTTAAAGTATTTATAAGAAAAGACATTGTGGCTGTACGGTTTTATCAAGAATTTTTTTCAAACTTTCAAGGAACATGTAATTACCATGCTATATGAAATTAGAGACCAAAGGAAAATCTAGGAAGCTTTTCATTTTACGAAGCTTGCACAGCCCTGATTCAAACTTGAAAGAAATACAAACTACAGGTGAATTTCGTTTTTAAGCAGAGATGTAAAAACTTAAACAACATACCATAAAATAGAAATAAAAAGCAACATATAAAGAACTACCCGTTAAAACCAAACAGCAATACCACAATGCAAGAACAGACCATAACTCATCGCATCAACTATGGATAATAAGACAACCTATTTTGCTTAGGTTGAATTTTCTAATCAATACAATAAGACTTTTGGAAAGGAAGAGGCAATTTAGTATTATTTGCAGTTGAGAAAATTACATGGTTAACAACCTCGAAAGAATCCACTAAAAAAATTCTGAAGTACTATTAAGAGATTTTAATAAATTGAAAAGATACAAATCAATACAACAAAAAGCCATCGCTTCCTATATTATAGTAATAACCAATTAGAGGTGGAACAAAAGGAAGGAAATAGCCAGGCGCGGTGGCTCACGCCAAGATCGCGCGCCATTGCACTCCAGCCTGAGCAACAAGAGCGAAACTCCGTCTCAAAAAAAAAAAAAGGAAATAATCCATAATCCATGTACATAGGAACAATCATAGTAAGTAAAGTAAAAAATATGCCGGGCATGATGGTTCACGCCTGTAATCCCAGCAGTTTGGGAGGCCAAGGCGGGCGGCGGATCACCTGAGGTCAGGAGTTCGAGACCAGCCTGGCCAACATGGTGAAACCTCGTCTCTACTGAGAATACAAAAATTAGCCGGGCATGGTGGCATGGGCCTGTAATCCCAGCTACTCGGGAAGCTGAGGCAGGAGAATCACTTGAACCCAGGAGGCGGAGGTTGCAGTGAGCTGAGATCATACCACTGCATTCCAGCCTGAGCGACAGAGTGAGACTCCGTCTCAAAAAAAATAAAAAATATAAAACATATGAAATTTCAAATCTTTCCTGATATCTATATCTATTCGTGTTCTTATGCATATTTAGGTCCTTATCAATATTTATTTATCTACACAGCGTTCCTAGATGGTAAGAACAAATTTGCAAAGGTATCAGTTCTTATATTAGTTTACAGATTTGATGCAATTGCTATTAAAGTCTCTAAATAATTTCTTAACTATACAATTGTAGAGTTTATCTGGAATGAGTCTGACCATCCAAGAACATGAAAATATATGAAGTGGAGAATTCCCTGCTAGATATTAAAATTCATCATATAAATGTAATATTTAAGACAGTAAAATATAGGTACTAGAATAGACATGTGAAACCATGTCTATTCATGAAGGTAGTTCAGAAACAGATTCTAATGGATTTATTTTTAACATATGGTAAAGATTCCTGAGCACCATTTACTGAGTCCTTTGTTCTCTGCTACGAACTACTACAAACTAGTAGAGAACAAAGGACTCAGTAAATGGTGCTCAGGTAAAGGGTTAACTACTTGGAATAAAATAAGACTATTATTTCTCATTATGCCATACACCAAAATTTCAATGAACTTAAGACAAATGATAAAGTTGAAACCAGTTTTCAAAAAACACAAAAATATATAGGTGAATGGGATACTAAGTAGGTTTTATTTCCAAAAAAAAATTTAAAATTCTAAAGATTGAAATATGCAATCTAGGAAAATATATCTCACATATACGAATGCAAAAGCTTAATAATATATACGTAATATTTAACACATAAAATCTCAGTGAAACAATAGACAATTCACAGAATAAGTCAACATGGCCACAAAATGTGAAAATGTTAAGCCTCAACAACTAAAAAAGAAATTCAGGTTTTAAACACAGGCCACTTTCAATCTATTAAATTAACAGAACTAGCACAACAGTTCTAGGGATGTAACAATATATATCAATATCCTTAAAAATGTTATATAAATTTTTATTATACTTACAGTAATCTCTTGTAAGGAAACAAAAATATGAAAATATATGAACACTCAATGTTGACATTGATAACTATAGTGGCATAGTTCAATAAATTATATGTCTATGTGATTTCATATTACTCATTCACACTGTACCATAAAACTTTAAGAAATTTTAATGACACAGAAATTAAAATATTAAGTTTTTAAAAGCACAGTGAAAAATGTTGAAAATATGTTTAAGAGCTATATTTATATATATTCATACTAATACCTAGTGTATACACATTTCGGAATCTCCAAGGAAATTCACTGAAATGTTAACAATAGGGGTCTTTGTTGGATTAATGGTGAGATATATTTTTTAACATTTCATATTTTCTAAAATGAATATACACATTACAACGATAAATGAATAGGCATTGCTATAAAATGAGACAGAGAATATTACAATGTAGTTTAGAAACAATGCCATTCAAAATGTGTTGACTGAAAAAAAAGTAACCGTCCATTATTGATAGATTTCATTTATACAGAAGCCTCATTTCCTGTCAGTTTTTGATAAATTAGTGATCACTGTACTTTGCTCTAAAATGTAAATAGCTCCCTTCTTCCACTGACACAGCACAGATTTGTAGGTCTTCATGAAAATACAAAATGTACATACATTAAGAAGTGTAAGCACATTCATTCAAAACTATACTTTTTAGCTCTTGACACTGAAAATTTATCATCTTTTAATATATAAAGCATATTATTTTTTAAATATATGTGCATATGTGTTTTAGGCGCATATGTGGAATCCTATGTATTTGAAAATAATTCTTGTCCAAATAAAGTAAACCACTTAGAATATTTCGGTGTAATTATGATCACATAGCTTAAACATTAATTACAGGGAATGAATAAATGTTTCCCCAGATTCTAGCAGGTCTTCCTGCCTTTCTCTTCCTTCCAAAATCCCAAAATGAAGTTCCAAGAGGATGTATTTCTTTTTCCTAGCTTCTAATTAGCCCAGTCTTTGGTTTAGTTGGCAAGGGCGACTTTTGCATAAGCAATAGCTCTCTTTCAAAAAAGACTGATGTGGGAGATTGTGAAAGACCTATAAAGGTCCTGTGATCTTCAGTAGGGTCCATCCAAGCACCCAAACAGAAGCCTCCACAGCCACGATTGCCCCACATGTCACATAGGGAATGTATTTAACACATGCAATCGTGGATTACTCCCTTCCCATCATCCCTTTTCTACTGGCACAAGTCAGAGGTGCTGTTCCAAGTAGAAAATGTGGGTTTGCACAGCAATTTAGAGTGTGCATTGCTTTTTTGTCTGTTTGTGGGACACTGGAAGATAGGCCTGGCACAGTTCATCCTTCGCAAGTGCTTAATGCCATCCCTGGGGACAGGAATATCACAAGCCCAGAAAAACACAGCTTTTAGCCACTTGGTGTTGAAAATTTCAGGCAAAATTCCAAAAGCCCTCAAAGCTAATGTTGAATTGACAAAGTGCCAAAACCTCTCTGGCATTAAATTTCCACTCTTTATTTTCCCCCTTCAGGTTAACAGCTTGTGAAAATAATAATGTGATAATGCCACCCTGTGTTCCAAATATCTCGAAGCACGATCTTGTTAAGCTTTCGTGTCCCTTTGAGACTAACGGGAATTGAGCCGACTTATTCATTTTACAGATGAGAAAACCCTCCAGGAGATGAGTCAAATGTCTGAGCGATGGCCCTGCAACTTATCACATAGGTCCCAGGTCTAGATTAAATTCTCCAAACAAGGCCAAGTGTTCTAGGAAAGGACCTGAAAAGCTCAGCTAGCATCAAAAAGGGCCAGAGAAAGATTCATAGAGATTACTAGGCAGGCTAGTATAATAAACCAGTGAAAGTGGTGGAAACACACATTCCAGGAGGGGCAACAAGGCATAGTCTAGGCATAGCAATAAAGCATAGTCTAGGCATGTGGCCAACTGGAGTCAACAAGAATCACCATGGTCATCAGAAGATCTAATGTGACATCAGGGGCATTTTACAACATCAGGGACACTGGAGTTTGGCTTTTCTTTTTTAGTTTATCTGAGACCCTCTCATAATTACAGAATACACTGCTATGCATATTACAGTAAGCACCAGGACTCTACCCCCCATTATAGAAGAAATTCCCTTCCCTGAATTCTAGCAATCAGGCCTGAATGCATGATCTAAACCAGTCAATGGCATGGCCCAGTTCAGGACTTTGGATCTGGAAGAAGTGTCTCAGAAAAGTGAGGGGTATTTTTGAACTGTGTAACCATTGCATCCAATGTACTGAGGCCAACAGCATTCCAATAATGTTGCCTCTTGTGTGTGCCTTTCCATGGGTTTCTGGCCAACCAACTTCCTTTAGTTCCCTTTTTCTGAGCCTGATTCTCTAGCCTTCCTGTCAATTTAGTGAGTTATCTGTTGTGTTTCTAATAAATTATTTTTCAGCTTAAATTACCTAGGGTCAAGTTCTATAGTTTGCAACCTGAAGACTGAAATTAGCAATGGTCAAGGCTGCAGTAAAATTAACATCAAGCAGATCTAGCAGGCTATACCAGGTTTACAGCAACAGGAACTGTGGGTTTGGAGGAAGAAGTCTTCCCACAGTAGAACAGAAGTCCAGGTATGGCAGAAAGTACTAAGTGCTCTAAAATCTATTTTATTTTCTTATTTCTATGTAACCTGTAGGATATTTCTCAGCCTCCCTTGCAGTTAGGTATGGCATGTGTATTAGTCCATTTTCATACTGCTATGAAGAAATATCCGAGACTGGGTAATTTATAAAGAAAAAGAGGTTTCATGAACTCACAGTTTCACATGGCTGGGGAGGCCTCACAATCATGGCAGAAGGTGAAGGAGGAGCAAAGGCACACCTTACATGGCAGCAGGCAAGAGCGTGTGTGCAGGGGAACTGCCCTTTATAAAACCATCAGATCTCATGAGACTTGCTCACTATCATGAGAACAGCACAGGAAAAACCTGCTCCCATGATTCAATTACCCTCCATTGGGTCCTCTCATGACACATGGGGATTATGGGAGCTACAATTCAAGGTGAGATTTGGGTGGGGACACAGCCAAACCATATCAGCATGTGACTGGGTTCAGTCAAAAGAATGTGAGTTGAGTGATGTGTGCCTCTTTCAGAATGGGCCCACTAGAACCTCCCACATGTGCCCTTTTTCCTTTCTATTTTGCTAGAAGGGAGACAACTGTAAGGTGGTCTTGAGAGCCATGTGTTGAAGATGGCATAGCTCCCACCATCCTGGGTTCTCTGAATGACTATATGAAGAAGGGTCACCCCACTGTATTGCTTCCCCTTTCAGTACTGATGCCTAAACAGGAAAAAAACTGCTGTTTGTGAGCTATTATACTTTTGGGGATCCCTTCGTTACAGCATAGCCTAGATTCACCATGTATGATAAATTAATCAAGCAAAGATTCAAATTCAGAGCAGGGCCAGTATCTATGCTGACTTGATATTGACCCCTTGAATTGATGGTCTACAGCTTCAGGATTTCTCCCAATTTATAAAAGAATAGATGACAATTGGAACAGAATCTTTAAAGGTATATGATGCAGCTATAGCTATACAGATTGAAAGGATACAGGCGAAAGAGCAAAAAAGCTCATTAGAGATTTGACAGTCCTAAATAGAATCATAGAATTGATTAGTGATCAATGAATTCTAAATTTTTCATTTCTTTTTTATGCATTGTAGTATCTCTATGCTAGAGATAATGAAAAGATAAATTATAACTCCAGTTCTGCTTTTTTCTCCTTTAACCTAGTTTTCCCTTCTCAAATAGATCCAAGTGATGCATCTTACTCTCCCTCCTGGGTTTTTCCCAACTCCTGAGGTTTAAAATAAAACCTACCTGGGGTTTTATTTCCCAGTTTTCCCCTTACTCCTTTTCAAGTGGGTGGTTTCTCAAGGAGCTCAGGGAGGATTAATCATCTCAGTTCTTGTAATCACAAGAGTATGTACCCAGTACATATTTGTTGAATGAAGAAATTATTGCTTTCTTTTTTAAATGAGATGACACTGCACTGATGACCCTTATCCATGTCTAAGTTGGAAAAGACCTTAGAGATCACATAGCCCTTCTGCTACACATGCACACACACCATTAGGGAGTCCCCTTCTATAGCATCTTTTATGTGGGTCATCCAGTGTGACTCATCTTTCTGGTGATGAGAAGCTCAATGCTTTATTCCTATACCGTTGAAAAATAGCTCCATCCTTTTTTTTTTTTCTTTTGAGACGGAGTTTTGCTCGTTGTCCAGGCTGGAGTGCAATGGTATGATCTCGACTCATTGCAACCTCCACCCAGTGGGTTCAAGTGATTCGCCTGCTTCAGTCTGTAGCTGGGATTACAGGCACCTGCCACCATGCCCCACTAATTTTTGTATTTTTAGTAGACAGGGTTTCATCACTTTGCCCAGGCTGGTCTCGAACTCCTGACCTCAGGTGATCCACCCACCTCAGCCTCCCAAAGTGCTGGGGTTACAGTCGTGAGCCACTGCACCAGCCTGTAAATATTATTTTTTAATTTCTCCATAAATCTTCCACTGATTGCTCAGTGTTGAGGTCCCTTACTAGTCACATATTCTGATAGAAATTCCCTTGCCCAGGGGTCAGTAAATTGGTTTCTAGCTCCAAATTATTATTCCATTCACAGGTCTTTATCTTCTCCACCAAGACATCAGAAAAAATTCTTCCAAGCCATACTAAAGTCCAGATACAATGCTTGTATTTATATTTCCAGGAATCTTAACAAAAATGAAACATAAGCAAATTTGTATGAATTGCACTAAGGCACTGAAGCTTTATATTCTTTTATATCTACTGTCACATCATTAGGCTGAGTCTGTCTTTGACTGCTTTTAAAAATAGATATTTACTATATCATGGGTAATCAATGTACATGCTTTCTATACCAACATTGTATTCTACACAGTACAGTTCCATCAGTTTCAAAGCACACAAAATGAAACCGGTGGAGAAGTGGGGTTTTTTTTTCCTGCCATTGTGGTGCACAGGAGTCAGAGATCGAGCACTAAAACAGCATTCCAGAGAAGCATGCTACTGAGGTCAATCCAGAATGTTGGATTCAAAATGTGTATTGCATCAAGATGGGTCTTATTAATGGAATCAGGCACTGTGTGATGTAGTGAGTCAACTCCAAAAGTGTAGATGAGATGGTGTGAAAAATCCAAGATGAGAGTCAGAATTACAGGACAAATTAGGCAAGATGGAAGTGGGCTGACTTCGTCCCTAGGACTGGCTGCCTGGATGTGTACTTGTTCTTTACATGCTGCAACTTAAGTTTACTTATGGGGGAGAGTAAAATCCATTTAGAGGGACTGGAATTTGAAAAATTAGTCAAAGTGAGAAAAGCATCATATCCAGACATTTCTATTTGGATAATATTCCTGGACTTTCAGCAATGTGTATATCTTGCATGAAAAGTCCCTAAGCTCTTTTCTATTCTCTGGAAAAGGTAAGATTACTCCATCATTTCTAGTAATATTTAATGTAAATCTCAAATCAGTCAGGTCATACCTAGTTAGGTCCATCATGTAATACAAAGTAGGAATGTACCTTGCAAATAAAATTGGGACAGAGAAAGGAATAACAGTAAAATGTAGTAACTGAGGACAAAAATCACTTGATAGAAAGTTTTATGATGAATCATCAATCTATAGTGATTCTCTGGGATGCTAGGGTACCTCTCTTGAGCCTCTAATGTCCACTGTGCCCCTTGTAGTGTTAGAGACATACTAAACAAGCCTAGAACCCATTTGGAATCAATCAGCATCCTGCTCACTGAAATAACCCCAAGGATCCCTATGTCCCTCTAAGAAGCTACCATTTAGGACCTTCTTGCAACACATTTCAGTTTCAGGCTCTTCCCTACTGGAACTTCTCCTGTTGGGACTGTAGCTAGGGGAGTTGCTTCTACAGGAATATGTGATGGAGACTGATGCAACAGAGATGAGACTGAATACCTTGGATGTAAGAACTATTTCCAAGATGAACTAATCTTTCTTAGTGCCAAAAGGGTTAAAATCAGCAGTAAAAACCACACCCGCCAATTAGCTGCCTCTATATTCAGCCACCCTGCAAAGCATCCTAACTAGGGTGGCTTTCATAAATAAATATGCCCCTACATTCTTTGTAGCCAAAGGTTATAAATCCCTTGCAAGGGTGGGTGGACCACAGTAAAGAGATCTGGGAGCATATTTTTACATTGGCAAGAAAAGCAAAATGTCACTCAACTAAATTTAAGATTGTTCACATACATCTGCTACCACCAGAATGTTATTTAAAAAAGAAAAGAAAGAAAGAAAAAGAAATGTGAATATCTAACAGTTTAGCTCTGAACATTTTTCTACTGTTCAGGTGACTGTTTCAATAATGATTGAAAGGCTATCAAAACAGAAGCAAACATGTGCTTGTAGTTTGTCATACAGCAACAATTTCTGCTTAAATAAATACATAGACAACAATATCTCAACTACAGAAAAATGTGTGTGCTGGATAATAGTTATAAATATATCACTAAAATGTTTGGAAAAAAAGCAGCAAATATAAAAGTTACACTTCTGACAATATCACAAATGAGTCACATCCTTCAGAGAGACAGAGACAAAGATCAAATAAATTTCTGAATCAGAATAAAATCTGACACCATTTCACAGCAAGCAGATGCGTTTTATGACATGAGTCTTGGATTCTTCTGGATTAGAATGTACAATTTAATAAACCAGAATGATTTGTTCAAAGTTCATCAGGGGCTGCAAATGGATACAGTTTGCCATAAGGGAACAATTTAAGTTTAAAATCACAGAGGTACATGCAATGGTGTGTGAAAAGTCCTACTTACCTATTAAACCAAAGCAGAATAATAAAATTTTGGGAAATGAAACTTAAAAAAACTGAAATCATAAATCTACCTTTCATTCTTTTCAAAAACTGAGGCCTTTTAAATACTGACATCAATTATGGAAATTATCAGTGGATCTATTGAGCAAAGATGACAAAAATGTATACTAAGGTCTCCTTTATATAAAATTGTTACATCCTCTAAAATTATGCACTTCATACACTGTCAAAATGTAAGTACCATTTATCCCAAAATCAAATGCCAAATTACTGAAGAGTTAAGAAGCAACAGTAATTCACTTGGAAATTATCCATAACAGAAAGAATCCATTATATTTGAATTGGAGGTCAAGCTGAGTAAATTGCATTTACTACTGGTTTTTAAATATGAAGAAAACTACTAAAGGAAATAAATTTTATAATACAATTATATAAAAATATATTTTATTAGGCTTTAAAATAAATGATTCTGCATAAATAAATGTTCCAAACTAAGTTTAATTGGCCTGAGAAAAGAATCATGATTTGTTAAAGTTACTTTTTAATGACAATATGTTCTCTTAGAAAAAAATTTGAATAGCTAATCAAAATATCTGTTGGGGTCATTCTGGGTAGTAATTCAAAGTATTATTTCTTCGTTGGTTGTGTCATATAATAATATCATAGAACTACAAATTTGATAGTCTAAAAGATGGAGTTAAAAGATGTTTTTGAAGAAACCATTTTTTTTATTTCTGGTTTGAAGATTTAAATTGAACATTTTGAAACTAATTATTTTCAATAATGCTAAAAGTACTATTTCAATAGCCCATATATAATTTTATAAAATTGTCTGTTATTTCTACTTATAATAAGCTGCCACTCTATACATTTCATACCAATAAATTTGAGATTTTTTAAGTCATCAAATATCTCCCATGTATTGACATTAGAATACCTAGACATTTGTTCTTTTGGTAACTGAAAGTATAATCTAAATTGAAAAAGTTTAACACTGATCTTCCCAAACTGTACAAATCAGGAACTACTTTCCAAAGAGAGTCTTGTGCATACAAAGGGCAACAGATTGTACATTTGGAACTATTTACATGTGTATATTAAAATGCTATTTCCAAAGTCCACTGCAATGCAATTAGTTTTGGTGCACTACAAAAAAGAACACTCAAACTTAGATTCTCAAAATTCAAAGCACCAAATATCCACATACTAACTATGCAATGAGAAAGTATTTTTTTCAAATGAACATTCCAATATACCTTAAATGCTTAATTCTGAATTTAAAAATGTAATGAAGGCCATCAGCTTAAATTTAAAGTTACTTAGTTCGACTTTGAAGTTTTCTCTCTTCATTTGTAAAAATATGATACACCTAAAATAGATGGTAGACATTTGTAAAACTTACACTGTCAGAGTGCTTGCCCTGGTCACAGTCCCACGTTGTAACACGCTGCCCGGACCTCTCCATGGTGCTGAAGAGTTACTCTTGCCCATTTGAGAGGGAAGAGTTGTTTATTCAAATTGGCTTTGAAAGAAATCCGTAAAGGGTCACCTGGGTTAGCTAGTAAGGTTGTCTAAAAAATTTCTATAACACACACTAAATAAGTGATGCTTTTGCCCTTCGGTTATCAACCACCATGCTCAAGCAGCTCAAAGTAGATTTTGGAGCAGAAATCTTCAAGTATTGGCAAAAAAGAGCGAGAGCTTTTTGGGAGATGAAGTTTGCTGATTTTTGCCAGTGTTCTTCAAATTGATAAAACACACAGAGAAGACAAGGCTACTCGGAGAACAGAGGATTCCAGAAAAGTTCTTGATCTTAATGCAGAAAAGAAGATCCCATTAGTCCAAAGCAGCCGATTCACTTCATGCTATCATCTGATCTACTTTTCGATTAAAAATAATACAATAAAATAGAGTTAAGAATTCCACAAGGCACTGCACACACCATGTAAACAGGTCTGCCTCATTCTCGCCCCAGCCTCGGTCTGCTGAAGATTATCACAGCAGAAATCAGGCTCTGTGGCTTTCACAGATTATCTCTTTCTGAGGCTGAAACGTATAAAGAGCCACATGACACCCAATGATGTCATCTCTAAAGCAGGTCACAGTTGCTGCTGTATATAGATAAAGTCCTTCTAGTGAAGTATTTAGCATAGTGATTTTCTTGAAAATCTACTTATATTAAATAGCATGGTCTTCTATCAAAATACTTAACCCTATCGATACAGTGCCATGAAGAGAAAATCAATTTGCTGCTCATATGTGAGATGAAGCCTCCCCTTTAAGCTAAGATCAGCTTCTGGTACTGCTTTAAAAAATGAATAACTGCCATTAATTTGTGGTGAATATAGTGAAGAAGGGCTTTTCCCTGGAGAAGCTGCTGTGGGAACTAGAGGCTCTCTAAGGATATAGAATCTACTTCTAAACACCTCTCAGAATATTTAGCATGTCCAAAAATTATTTTTTAATTCAATCCATAAAGATTGCAAAATAAAAATTAAGGAAACCATCTTCAACTTCTAACAACAGTTTATGTAACAAAATTAAAAAGTTATATAAACATAAAAACATCTTACTATCTCTGAAACGATTGGAGTATATTTTCAAGTGTTGGTTAAAGAAAAACGTTCTTTAACTCACTATTTTTAGATGTTTTTCAGTTCTGAATAAAGTAAAAATAGAAAATTAGCTATATTATTACTAATCTGCACACCTAACTGGTAATTCATAGTACACATATTCTTTTAAAGAATGTTTAAATGAGCAATGTCCATGATCATTCTTTGCAACATATTTTTCTCTTTCTATTTAGTCATATGCCATAATTTATGATTTTCAGCCATAATTGTCATTTATGCCAGTTAATAAATTATCTAATCCCCTTTCATGCCAACTAAACAATTCTTATAGCCCAAGTGAAGAATAACTTGAAACTAATCTAATTAGTGCTTATTAAATGTATTCCCTCCCTTAAGGCCAAATGGATCAAACAAAAGCAGCTTTCCTTTAAGAGCACAGTATTCTGTCATATTTTTGAGAAAAAACCATAAATCTGAGGAGAAAACAATTTTCCACACAACCAGTGCCACTGAACAAATTCTATTAAAGCAATGGTGATTGTTCTGGCATCTCATCAGGAAAATATTGCCTCACCAGCTTCTCACCGCGTATCTAAAATATCCAAATAAAAATTGAGAATGCTAAAATATCCAAATAAAATATCCAAATAAAAATTTATTTGGATAAATTTTTATCCAAATAAATTTATGCTAAATATCCAAATAAAAATTGAGAAAAATATCCAAATAAAATTTGGAATATTTTATTCCAAAGGCTAAAATATCCAAAAAAAAATTGAGAAAAAAAATTGATCATCTAAATGTTCTGATCCACTTCAGTTTCCTAAATAAAGCAGATATTTTTGGTCAATTTCTACAGTTTAGTATTTTCTACACTTTAACAATGATGAAGATTATCTGGGGAATTTTTAAAAATTTAAAAGTCCCTGTAATCCCAGCACTTTGGGAGGCCAAGGCGGGTGGATCAAGAGGTCAGGAGTTCAAGACCAGCCTGGCCAAGATGGTGAAACCCCATCTCCACTAAAAATACAAAAATTAGCCAGGCGTGTAGTGGGCACCTGTAATCCCAGCTTCTCAGAAGGCCGAGGCAGAAGAATCACTTGAACCCAGGAGGCAGAGATTGCAGTGAGCTGAGATCGCACCACTGCACTCCAGCCTGGGCAACAGAGTGAGACTCTGTCTCAAAAAAATAAAAATAAAAATAAAAGTCCCAGGCTGCTTCTCAGATATTCTGACATGATAGATCTGTTGTGGTTCTGGAATATGCATTTTTATAAAAAGTTCCAAAAGTAATTATTATTTGGAAAACTCTAATTAATATATTACTATATAAAAAATCATATAAAAATCAAACTGACTAAAAAGTATTTGTGATTCTTAAAATGATTTTTTTTAAAAAGCCCAATTTTTGCTTCCTGAAGTATCCAGTGTTGGGCACCCCCTTCTTATTTTCTCAGGCTTCCATAAGAAAGCATTTTCCTAAAGACTCCTAGCCTCTGATTTCCATCCTTTTCTCCTCTCTACAAAGGTGGAAAGAGCTACACTGATTGGAGGATTAGGCAAAGGAACTGGGCATCTACAGCTCAGGATCACCCTTCCTCTGTCTCTGTGTGGGATCCAGCTCCCTGCACAGGATTCACACTGGCTTGCCCTGTGGGTGAGACTGGTAAGTTTCTCTCATTTCAAAGTTCAATAGTAAGATGTCAAATGTTGCCACAGTCAGAGTTACACCCTCCAATCCAGCTTTGACCGGAAATAAAGTTGAGATTTTGATCTCCCTCTGCCTAAATCTCTTATTTCTGAAAATAAGTTTCTAAATCAAGAAAGGAAAATGAGTTATTTATTGACTTTCTAAAACTCCATCTTCCAGTACTATTGTTTTGTTGATTAGATTTGTTTTTTATGTAAACCCTACGAGCCAGTTAATGCAACAAGTTTTATCTGTGAACTTAATAAAATTTTCATTTGCATAATACAGCTCTATAGATAGAGGCCTATAAAAAGGACATGTATATAAAACTTTCATTGGAAGTTTTGCTAAATGCATTGTTCAACTCATTAATTGCATTATTGAGCCACTTAGAGGAAAATTCGAGTTCTTGGAATTTTCCTTTAACAACTAGTAACTCTAAGATAATGTTTCTCAAAGTGTGTTCCATGGATCCATTAAGCCCAGTAAGATGTGACTCATTTCAGGTTTCATGCTCAAAGAAGCATAGAAAGTGTGAAAAAAATACAGCCTTCCTGCAGAATCAAAATGTGTAGAAACTTAAAAAGGCTCGAAGAAGTCGTAAAGTAAATAAATTGACTCATTTTACCTCTCTTCCAGTTAACATTTACCAACGTCCTGTAAAAGTAATATTTCAGGTACCACATTCAGAGAAATTCTGCTCTAGAAGATGTTTCAGCAGTAAGATTTTTCTTAATAGTAGCACCTAAACCTTCTATACAATTAATCAATTAATAGTTATCATTGCCTATGTTATCAACAGCTCTGTTACAAGAATTGACAACCATGACTGAGGAATTTGTAAATTCTGCAAGGGCATAGGTTGTTTTCTTTTGGTGATCATTGTATCCCCAGTGCTTGGCAAAGGCCTGGCACACAGTAGACATTCAGATAGTTGTTGAACGAGTGAATGAATGTAGACCTAATCCAGGGATGTGAATAATTATCCCCCACCCCGAAAGATGTCTCATTTACAAAAGACCCTTAGGCTAATGAGCTTTCCAGAAGAAATGTAATACAATGATACATCACTCTCCAGTTTCACTACATCTAATTTCTCCTCCGACCCTAAAGCGTCTTTTATACCCATTCAATGAGTGGAATGTTGGTTATGTTGGTTTTTTGTTTTTTTTTTTTGCAGATATAGTAGGTGCATATATTTATGGGGTACATGAGATGTTTTGATACAGGTATGCAATGTAAAATAATCACATTATTATCCGTTAAGTAATCACGGAGAATGGGGTATCCATCCAAGCATTTATCCTTGTGTTACAAACAATTCAATTATACTCTTATAGTTATTTTAAAATGTACAATTAAGTTATTACTGACTATAGTCACCCTGTTCTGCTATCAAATAGTATGCCTATTCATTCATTCTTTTTTTGTGTGTACCCATTACGTTAACTATTCTCAGTTGCCCCCCTCCAGGCTCCCACTCCCTTTCCAAGGCTCTAGGAACCATCCTTCTATTCTCTCTGCCCATTAGTTCAATTGTTTTGAATTTTTAGATTCCATAAATAGGTGAGAACATGCAATGTTTGTCTTTCTGTGCTTTGGAATGTTTATTTGTAATAATAAAACTGGATTTATTATGTAGGTGCACTCTGTGTCTAAATTAGAGATCTAACAATTTATCTCACCAAGCCATAGAATAAAAACAGAATTTATATGAGGACAAATGCCAAGAGTGGACTTAAGGTAAACTACACAGAAAACAAGTTATTTCTCAACTATCTTTATCAAAGGTGACATACTTGATGTCTAGATTTTCACATCTATACTCATAGGTCATTAAGTGTAGAGACTGCTAAGGAAGATTTATTATGTTACTATGGATGAATGAATCAGTGATCAATTAACTGTCAATTTTGCATATCGTTCTGAACTCACGCAATGTTTAATATTAGCAGTCCTTTTGAAAAAATTTTAAATCCCCAAACCAGAACAACATGTTTATTTTTAAACCTATCAAGAAAAATTACCCTCAAACCATGATGTTAAAAGGATAATTTGGGAAAAGGAATCTATATTATCAGCCAATATTTAGAGACATAAAAGGGAGAGGATGTTTGTGGTATAAAGATACTATTTTATATAAAAATAGATTTATGCATACTGTCATATATGTTTATATATTATATAATTTGTAAAACTTTGGAAAATGAAATACTCTCTCAGGCTCTGGTTTGAAAGAAGAGGAATGTATCTACTTCTAAGTAAATACTAAGAAGTCTTCTCTTTTTATATATGGTTAATATATTCTCAGAACCAAAATTTGGAACAAATAGACAAAGAATTTGTGCTATTTGGGGGTCTGAAAGGAAGGATGAAAGATAATGTTTGGGTACTAAAACATTAGAATTCATGAGACCTAAATTTATAACAGCTGAGCTTAATACTGTAACCTGTCCCTGACCTGGAAAATCTAGGTTATTAAATTATTAAGTAGCACAAAGCTTACATTCGCTATAGTTTGTTTTTTGTTTTTGTTGTTGTTGTTGTTGTTTTTGAGACGGAGTCTTGCTCTGTCACCCAGGCTGGAGTGCAGTGGCACAATCTCGGCTCACTTGCAGGCTCTGCCTCCCGGGTTCAAGCAATTCTCCTGCCTCAGCCTCCCAGGTAGCTGGGATTACAGGCGCACACCATCATGCTCAGCTAATTTTTGTATTTTTAGTAGAGACAGGGTTTCACCATGTTGGTCAGGATGGTCTCGACCTCCTGACCTCAGGTGTTCTGCCCACTTCAGCCTCCCAAAGTGCTGGGATTACAGGCATGAGCCACCACACCCGGCCCATATTCTCTATAGTTTTAAATATCTCAAAATTGTATTAGAAGGGGTCCCAGAAATCCTCTTTCAGGGCTGAGTTTTCCCCCAACCAAGTGTGACTTTGTAACAAGACTTTCTCCCTAATTAGTCACCAGAGTTTTCTTGATGTATTTAAAGCCTGGAGGTTGTAAATCTGAAAAGGGCAATAAAGCTTGAGGATAATGAAGCAGTTTGAATGTTGGTGAATACGCCGCGTTCAACAGCAAGGGTAAGACTGACTTTTAGAAGTATATTTGGAAAGGTTTGGTGGGTCATCTGGCTAGCTGTTGAATATCCAGACACTCTTGCTAAATGCCGGGACACTTAAGCAGTGCTGTTAACCTAAGCATCCCACAGCCTTCACGCCAGAAGTAACACTCAGGTGTTACTTCACACCTGAGGTAACAGTCTTCAGCTGGTCCAAATCGGTGGTTTTGACCCTGCTCAGGACTATAATTCCTCTTGACTAGGAATGAAGTAAGGTCTGCTGGTAGAAGTTGGGCAGCTGCAGGAATGGCACTTAATTCTGCTTTCCCCAGTGTCCTAAGAATCTGCCTGTTCCTTATTCATCAGGTCTTGGAAGGAAGGAGAGCGATCTATGCTTGCTTTTACTCTGAGTGTGGGGGTGGTCTCTCAGAGAAGGTCTACCCATTTAGATGCAAAAGGACTCAGTTCATCTTCAGAACTGGAAAATCAATCTTTAGTAAGAGCAACACTAAAATAAATGCTTAATTTATTACCTTCGTAATGTACAGTTCCAATATATATATTCATATTCATTCTGGGGCATGAGTTGATTCTCATGGATTCACTTGGGGAATCACAAACAAGTACTGTGCCCCTCAATCAGTGTCAAGTTAAAAATTCCATCTCTGCTCTCCACAGTTTTTCCACAGCATTTTGAATAAACTCACTGAACGTTTTCAAGAGCAGATTCAAAATCAACTAATATTTAGTGAGAGCCTTCAGAGTCCCAGGTTCTGTGCTGTAGTTTACATGCGTAGTGCCGTTTAACCTTCACAGCAATCCCAATCCATTTCTGAGGTGGGTATTATTTCCAGTTTCAGATGAGGAATGTCCTCTCAAATGATATATCTTGGACACATAGAAATAGTGGCAGAGCTGCTATTGTAAGTCACATCCTCCTACCCAGGCAGCGCCTCATTCCATGAGCCACAGTGCCCCCTATAGGCCAGATCATAATAATATGGGAACCAATGGGAGAGAGAGGCGTGACCGCAAAGCAAGGCCCAAGCAGGAGGAAACAATTCTAAGCCAAAAGAGATTGAGAATGTCTCTAAATAATCCCAAAGATTTTTCCGGACTTATTTGTAAGGTCATGCTAATAATTTCTGAAAAGGTCATCAATCTTGGAGTTTAGAAAATACCATGCTATAGTTTCTTTCCATGATAATCCTATTAGACAAGCTACAGATCTCTGGGAGCTGGAAACGAAAAGCGTTAAATATTTTATGATATGAAATTGATTAATAAAAAATACACAGGGCATTTCCTACTGTTGTCCTTTGTGCAATAACTAATATTTTTTAAGGAGAGAAGATTACTCTTTTTAAAAATCATTTTGATATCCACAAGCTCCATTCCCTAACAGTTGCTATTCAAAATTCCTATTTCTAAAACAAATTTTTCTGTTACCACATGATACATTGCAGTGTAAGGGCACTTAATATGCAAATTGCTAACATAACTTAATATTATCTTCCCTTCTGTTGCTCTTTAATTTGGCATTGAACAGCTGAGGTTTGAGGTTTTAATCAAGGAGCATTGAATGAAGCAATTTATAAAATCAAATGAGGGTTTTAAAAATATTGTTTCATTCACTGTTTGTAACTACCAAATTGTAAAGCAGTCTTAGAAATGCATGAACTGATTGCTTGACCGTGTCTAAATGCAGCCTTCTTTTCAAGTAATATAGTGGAAGAATAAAATATGGAGCTCCAACCCAATGGGTGGCCCAAGAAAAGGTAGTTATCTCTTTAAGTCTCTTTTTCATCACCTGTAAAATGGAGATAATAATAGTGTCTTTCTTTGTATGATCATTGATAGGATTAAACAAGATAATAGCAGAGTGCCTGGCACATAACAAGTGCTCAGCTTTTATTAAGATAATGAATTTGAGCACTCATACTTAAACGTTACTTTTGTTATATATTTTAAGGCAGAAATGTTCAAAGAACCACATTAACCACTAGGCCTAGCCAAAACAATCAGAGCAGAAGCATGCAAAAGCATCATTATCAGCTCCACACAGGAACTCAACCAGATTAGTGAGCTGATTTCCTGTGTAGTGCATGCCTGGGGTAGATAGTTGAGATAGGCAATAATTGCAGTTATGGGCGTGGGGCTGCAGAGCAGCTGGCAATGTCCAGAAGTTAGGTAAGGGCTTGTTGGCCTCCATTAAGGTTGTGTTAGAGGTTAGTAGAAGGAAGGAAGGGACTTGGGACAAGACAGTCAGTTGATCAGATATGAGAAGATAGAAAATTGTCTAGGCAGTAACAGCAATAGATTAAACCCAGAGAAAGAGGGCTGAGGTTCAACAACCTGGAAAAGATCAAGCAAGAGGCAGGGCATAAAGAACTCCCCAGGGACACAGCTCACTGACAACATTTGACTTGGACTGAAGGCTTTTAACACAGAAGTTCCAAATGGACTCATGGTTGTTAGAGGAAGCTCATTTCTTGATGACAGGCTTAGTCAGTGTAGGCCAGGGATCATCCTATTCCCTCCATAAACTTGAGGTCCATTCACTGGAGGGTGAGAAAACCAAGTCTTTCTATCTGGGGCTCCTTGAGAGTATGTATGAACCCAGTGGGTCTGGCAAGCTGGTCAAGGTAGAGAAGAATCACCTTCCTTCCACCAGGCAACTTGTCCCCAGGTGACTGCAACCTCCAAGAGATGTAAGGATGAATCTTCCCAACAGGGGCCCTGGCAAACTGATGATCACAGCAGATAAAACAAGCTTAGCTCACTAAACTCCAAACAACTACATATAAAGTTTTCTTTTAAACTGTGACTTGGATATTTTACCTAAGTGACAAACCAGAGACTTGGAAGCATCCCAACATCTTATATTTTCATATTTTATTTTTTACATTTAATGTCACATCACTGTCATTATCAATATTTAAGTCATTGTTATAATCAATAACTTCTATTAGAATTCTGGGCAGGGCCTGCTTGCTTTCTGACAGCTAATTCTTTTTGAAAATCTGTTCTGATTCTAATTCTTTTTTTTTTGTTTTCCCCTCTGTCATCCAGGCTGGAGTGCAGTGGCGCAATCTCGGCTCACTGCAACCTCTGCCTCCTGGGTTTCAAGCCGTTCATTCTCCTGCCTCAGTCTTCCAAGTAGCTGGGATTACAGGTGCATGCCACCACACCCAGCTAATTTTTGTATTTTTGGTAGAGACAGGGTTTCGCTATGTTAGCTAGGCTGATCTCAAACTCCTGACCTCAAGCGATCTGCCCACCTCAGCCTCCCAAAGTGCTGGGATTACAGGCATTGATTCTCACTTTTTATAGGCAATCATGGGTGAGCCAGACTGCCATTCACTGAATACAGTCATCCTCAGCACATGAGCACAGAGCTAAAGGATGATGATATGGTGGGGCTACAGGATGCACCCCCAATTCAGTCTGATATACCTTATGGGAGAACAAATTTCTGGGAACATTTGAGGGAGGAAATATCTTCTACTAAAAACCAACAAGGAATCAGGAGGCTAAGCTAAATTAAATAAAGTAGAACTGTTAGTGAAGCTGTGCAGAGATATAAATGAAGTTGATGACTCATGAACAGGGAAGAACATGCATTTATGCACAAAACACTTATGCTAGAATCGAAGCAGTACAGCCGTACAAATATAAAACAAACATATATTCTCATAGGAGTCCAATAAAACCGAAAGGTTAAGCACCCTAAAGCAACACTAAAACTTTTAGATATCACTGGATTCAGCAGCAATTGAGAATTGTCGTGAATTGGGGCTGTGAGAAGGTACAAAAAAAGTAAATCCAAACATTTAACTCACAAAGTGATTTCTAATATTGAGTTTCCATCATTCAAATAAAATCCAAAAGTCATCTAATTTGCACTTTCTATTGGCATTTACAGCAAAGACATCTTAAACATTCAATTCTCACTTTAGTTTTTACCTCACAAATCATGAGTTAGACACAAACGAGAAGCCCTGGCATTTTCCAGTGTAGTTCACGAGTGCCCTCTAGTGATAGTGAGGTCAGTTAGGATAAGCCATTCCCCTAAATAATTGTTTTAAAAAGTGAAGATTCACTAAATGTTCAATTTCTGCTGTCAATTAAAAATGGATCTTCTGCCACTTTTATTTGCACTGCTATAAACTCAACTTATTCTCTCTCTTTAAATCCATATCTAGGCAAAACCATTTATTGAAGAATATGCAATGCAACCATCTGAAAACATTTCAAATACAGTAACTTTTACCTGATCCCAAAAAGAATACATTGCGTTGAGTGTTGGGAAACCTTTTTACCACAGAATAAACATGATAACCAAAAGTAAAAGAAAAATTTTTGGAAGTAATATACTTGTGTAATTACTTCATTTCTCTAACTTTTCAGCATTTCAGTGACTGGTTACAAATTATCACAATGCTTAAATCCACAAAATCCTGGTTCATAAATCCCTCATCACTGATTTCTTCCCACTTTTGGTGTTTTTTAAAAATAAAGACTTCCAGCAGATTCCCTTATTCCTTAACTCTCTATCTCAGATTTCTTAAACTGGTGGCCTGTAGGTCAATTGTGGTCTGTAGGCATGCTTACTTTACCTTTTAAATTTTCTTACTGGCTGCTAACACTTAAAAATGCAGATTTCTGACATGTCCTGAAGAAAGAAAATCACATTTGGCCATGCCTGCCTGTATCGCCACATGGTGTCACATTGTCAGGAGCCAAGTGCGCTGCCCTTCAGGTGAGGTCTATGTTCTCCGTGTAGCCAGGGGCACAGCTCAGCCACCTCAGTCATGAGGGTGACTTACCTGGCCCCTGGAGACATTTAAGTTGCAACCCCTGAGTGTGTGACCACTTTCAATTCTTCTGGTAAAAGTTCTCTTTCTACTCCTTATAACCAATCTTATCTTCTATCATATTAGCACCACACAATAAAAGAAACACACAGCACATACTAAAAGAAATATGCTATTATAAAGAAAAGCAAAAAAGATACCTCCATAATAGAGAAATGAGAACACATAAATGCAATCTATTTTCTCCAGACTTGATAAAGTTCACTTTGTGCTTATGAATTGTGTCTTTATTTTGAGGTGACAAAACTCTCACCATGGGTTCCTGGGTAGCAAATAAGCTACATAGATCTTCACTGTCACAAACCACCTGCTCACATCCCAAGATTTCTCTCTTAGAACCAAAGTCTAGGCTTTCAGTTGAATGTCAAGTCAGGACATAGAAAAAGAAACATGACACTCACGGGTGTGCTGCTGTCGGAGAAGGTGTTCATGCTGACAGAGCTGCTCAGCTTCTCTGAGGAGACAGAGGGTGGGGACGGGCTCCTCTTCCCCAGGGGCTCCTGCCGCTGCAGGTACTCTCGCCATGCTCGCTGAATGCTGAAAAAACAAAACAAAACAAAAAACAGCACACACATGATTACTGTTGGATCATGGTCCACAGACTCAGAAACTCACAAGGAGTCTGAAGGAATTGGCTTTGGTGCCAAGGGAAGTAGAACATACAGAATGTGATGTAGTGAATCAGGAGACCTGAACTTTAACTTCAATCCAGCCATGGAGACTGTCTCCCTACCTTACTGGTTTGACTTTCACAGACTTGACTGCACTCAACCGGCCTAAAAGAGTCAACTTAATAATAAAATTCATCAGTCAAAACAAACTAGTTTGCACAGGTAAATGTACTTTGATTTATGAGACAACAAATTCTTTCAATTTTTCATCTTATATTTTAGATGAGAATAATAAATAGGCTGACTACTACTGCATGCACTCAATGTGTGATTTTTGAGGGGCCATTCTGTGCCAGGGTCAGCTGTAGACTCTGAACAGGGACTCTGCCGTGCACAGCTCCAGAGCAGTCCTTTGCATGACTGCAAGGTGAAGGTGTCAGTGATGTGCAGCACAGTCTGCATGGCCAAATGCAGTGGCCCTGCTGTGGGGCACAAGGCAGGCGAGAGCACCACATCATGGGTTTTATATACTGTGGAAGGGAATAGGAAATGGACAAAGATTATAAATAAAGAAATGGACAAAGATTATTCAAGTGTTACGTACTACTCAGAGAATTAATGTAATGTCATTAGGCAGCTATTTCAGGTTTCGCCTAAGGAAGTTATTTTCTGTGATTAGTATCAGAAAAAATAAATTATCTTCTGCTCAGGATAACGGAAACCTCTTCTTAATATAAGCTAAGTGATTCCCCCATGGACTGTGTATTAGTCCGTTTTCATGCTGCTATGAAGAAATACCCGAGACTGGGTAATTTATTAAGAAAAGAGGTTTAATTGACTCACAGTTCTGCATGGCTGGGGAGGTCTCAGGAAACTTACAATCATGGCAGAAGGCACCTCTTCTGAGTAAAGGGGGAAGCCCCATGTAAAAGCACCAGACCTCCTGAGAACTCACTATCAACAGAACGGCATGGGGGAAATTGCCCCATGATTCAATTGTCTACATCTGGTCACACCCTTGACATGTGGGGATCATTACAATTCAAGGTGAGATTTGGGTAGGGACACAGAGCCAAATCATATCAGACTGGCTTGTGATCTTTGAGATTAACATCTCGATTTTCATAGGGGGGGTCACTGAACACAGTCTAACCTCTTCTGGGAGTTAACAGTTCATGCGGACTAGTTGTTAGGATTCAGCCTTTTAAAATAGTTTAAGATAGCTGTATTAATTCTATCACTATCTCTTCTAAACTCCTGGAAGCATCTGATCTCTGTAATTCTTTCACACACAACCTATGTCATTAAAGTTGTTTCTGAATCAACAAACTTATTTATTCTCATTTGGCTGGAATAGTTCAAAGATCATCAATTCTCAATGGTCACAGCATATAAATAACAAAAAAAATGTGACCACATTATTGAATCTGTATGTTTTCCCTAATTTATTAAAGGTCTGGGAATTACAATGCTCAAGGAAAAGTCCATCAACTGTAGTGAAAACAATACTTTTGGGTCAGTAGCCAATTCCCTGAAGCTAGGAAACTTAAGCTTTAGGGGTTCTTACTTAAAGGCCAGGAGCCTCTTCCAAGATCCTGATGAGGGGCTCTTCATGATTTGTATAGAATTGTAAAAATAAGATACTTTTAGAGTTTTTTTTTTAAAGGACTCTTCAGATTATACATACTTCAAGCCTCACTAAAGCAGAATCTGGCCCAAATTTGAATTATATTTGGTCACTGTTTTATTACGAAATCTTGCTCAAAGTGCATTTTTATTTCTGTTTTTCTTTGGCTTAAAGATTTTAAGCAGAATGGGAAAGGGAGTCCCATAAGATTGCCTGCCTGAGTTTGGTGGTCTTCTTGCTTCTTCAAGACCCGTTATATCAGAGAGGAGTGAACTTAAGGAAGCTGTCGGTGATGTTCACATCCTCTGAGTTGCTTGGGGTATCCCAGAGCCCAGCTAACAAATTCTGCTGCTTGAAGGTTCCTAAAGTCTCTAAACCTGCCCGTCAAGAGCTCAGAATGTGTAACATTTTAAAGGCTGTCTAAAAATTAGAAAATGTTGACAACCAATAGAACACCCACAACTTTATAGGACTTTGAGGTATTCTACACTGTCCTTTTTTCCCTTTAAATCGTCTTCATTATTCAGAACATACAAAAACAAAATATAGTGGCCATTTGAGATACTACATTTTAGCTTGTTGAACACCAGAGGGCGGTGTGACACCTCTAAAGAACCAAATAACATTGGGCAAAACTGAGATGAGAGGTTTGCAAAGGAATTTGCACTTAAACATCCTCTTCTCCCTCCTGGTTTTATGGAATTTGGAAATTGGCATACCAGTTCTCCTTAAGTCAGATATTAAGAAGACAACATTATTTTCTTCCTAGTTAATGGATATCCTTTTCTTTTCTAATTTATAAGGTGACAATATTAAGTACTTTTAAAATATGTATTTAAAACATCTGTGCACCCACTGACTTTCTTAATACAGGAGCTGTTTTTTTGTAATATTTATTTTATAGTCATCCACATATGTGAAAACAATTTATTACACGATCTTATTATTTTTAAAACATACTATGATATATATATTTCTCATTACTACTTGTCCTTCATAATTACAGTTTTGAGGACTAGATGATAAGCTGGACAAGTCTTTAAATTAGCATTTGGGGTCAAAAAATGACAGGGCCATCATGTCACACCAGGCTATTACCCAAAATTGCTACATTGTTTTTTAATGATGGAACTATGCTATGTTATTCTCTGTATCATAGAAAAGTGTTTACATGTTATTTACTCCCCTTGGCGATTCCTACAACATGACCTTCAAAGATTAAATTGTTCCAGTATTAAGCTGTCTTAATACCATCTCCAGATGTTATTTTACTGTAAGAGGGAACTAAAGTAAAATTTAGAAGCACCTCATCTCTCAATCATAAGGAATCACTTTCAGCCTTCTTCTCCTAGATTTACCATAATTCTTGTTCACAAGTCTCCTTTGTGGCTACAGAGTAAATTACCCACTACCTTGACATTTTTTTTTTGAAACTAGACAATGCTATTCATTATAATTATTTAAAGGCTTGTTGAAGTAAGAAAGCACATGTTGTGTGCTCCTATATTTTGAATTATAAATAAAGTGTAAGGGTTTACTTCTAAACAGATGACAAATACATTTTCAACAATTTTTCTTTTTGCTAGGTCAGTTCCTGTGTATCTTCTCTTATAGCAGGGGTGGCACAATCTGCCTGCCTCTGCCCTTTTTCTGTATATCCCTGTGTGTTTTGCAGTGCGGTTGGCTCTGTCATGCACTCACAGCCACTTGGGGGACTCACAGCCAGTGCAGTCCGGGTTGCCAATGCATATGTTTATCTAGAAGAGGAGAGGAGAGGGTTCCCAGAGAGCTAGGGTGCTTAGAGAAGGCTTGAGGGAGTCCTAGTATTTTAATTAGTCCTGAAGCATGGATGGGATTGAGATTGATGGAGAGGAAGAAGATCTTTGGGCAAAGGCACAGAAGTGAAGACACCAGGCAGGAAGCAGGAGGATCCCAGAGAAGAGCAGTAAGTCTGAGGCTACAAAGATGGCAAGAGGCTCTCAGAAGCCACCTGGGGTCAGGCTGGGGGCAGACTGTGCAGTGGGGCACAGACTGGGCAGTGTGGGCAACCCTGCTTTGGTGCAGTTGATAATTGGTTTCAACTTTTCAAGAACAGCCAGAAATCTTGATTTTTTATGAGAAAGTACTATTTTTTATATGTTACCAAACAATTATAAAAAATTCAAAATACATTATAACTCAAGTAGGCTGAATTTAGGGATGGACAAAAGAGGACACCATCAGAGAGGATACATTGAATCTGAGTATCTTGGAAACAATAGCTGACATACATAGAGCTCTTTTTTGTGTTGATTCTCTCATTCAATCCTTACCACAAGTGAACTGTGAGGGAGGCACCATGATTATCACATGGGTAGATTTTGCGTGCCCAATATTAATTTCTCCTTTTCATTGGTTTTGCGGATCCACCAACTCTTTACCCACGAGCTTTGGATGAAACAGATCCTACCCTATCACTGTAGAGGGTGGTCCATTCCCCCGGGCTGACTAGCCAGAGGGCCGTGGTTGGTTCAGTTTGGAGATGCACACATGGTTCAAGCCAGGTCTATTAAAGGCTGCTCTGGGGATTGTACTGAGACTATGAGAAAAAGGCCCTCTTTTTCATCTAAAGTTTCAGCAAGTAGAGCTGAAACTACCTGCAAGCCTAGAGCTGGCAGTGGCCACTTTGTTGCAATGTTGTGAGAACCCACATGAGAATGAATCATGGAAAGAGCAGAGTTTATAGAAGAAGAAAGACAGATGCCTGATAACCTTGCCCAATCGCCCGGGTTTCAGTGTGCTTAAAGCACGTTAGACCATGGGTATTTCTGTTATGTGATTCAATATGATCTTTTTTACATCTATAAATTAGTTTGAGCTGAGTTTCTGATACTTACAACCAAACAGTCCTGGCCGGTCTCAGGAAACAAGATGGGAACTGATCATCATTCCCAAAACTCAGAGCAGATCCCTGCCTCCCCATTACGTTTGTTCCCTCCTTACGGTTCAGCAAAAGGCAGAAATAGAGAAACAGGATGGAGACAGTGGGTTTGGCTTGTCATATACTGACTGTGAGTGGAGAAGTAGAACCCCTACTTATTTCAGTCTGTTAGTTGATTTTTCTATATGCAGCTAGCTAAAAGCTATCCTAACAGATATATCATATTTGCATCATTTGTTATCTATCCCAACCCTGTATCCTGATACAAACTTGTTCAAATGTCAATACGGGGCCACTGCATGCAACAGGCAGGTTTCCCACAGAAACTGCCCTCTCTTTCCAGCCTGCTTCCCCTCCACTCCAGTATCCGCCCGGTTTGTAGCTCTCGACTTCACTGCCACACTGATGGATGATGCTTCCTACGCACCAGGGCCTATGCTCTCTTGGCTCTTTCCATAGGTCTCTTCTCAAATACCCATAACTTTGCAGACTGTCAAGAATGTCAATGTTCTCACACATGAGAATTTGGGCAATTTGGGTCCTGGATCTATAACACTCTTTTCTTTATGAGGACTGAGAAGGTGCTTCAGAAATAATGCACCCAGGGTTACTGAGTCTAAGAAAGAAAATAGTGGTCCTGCAATACTATTAAACATCCAAAAAGAAGAGTATCAGATTAGGCTAATCCAAATGCTTCTTTTCAAACAAGTCCTCTTCCCCCACTAGAATGTAAAATCCTTGAGGGCAGTGACCACTCCACAGTTCTGGGATATATGACAAGTAGGTGATTAACAAATGTAATTCTTCTAACATTGCATCCCAGAAATAGCTCAAAGAAGAAAAAGTTTTATCTCATGATAAAGTATGCTTAGAGTCATAGAGGTTCTTGCCTAGTTTACCTCTCATGAGCTGTAGCTTTAGACAAAATACTAAACACACTGGCCTCCCTCTTTCTTATCCATAAAATAGGAGTAAGAATAACTTCTTTGTAACCCCTGCAAGAAGTCAAGGATAATGTATGTAAATTACTTAGCCCAAACTTGACAAATAGAGCTCCTAGATAAACTATTATAATTACTTAAGGAAAGGACATATCAAACATTTTCAAATACTTTGAAGTCACCTGTGCAAATCATCTAAGGATCCCTCCTGGCAATATTTTATTAGCCCAAGTGGACATAAAAATATGTTTGAAAAAGGTATGTTTGCATGGAAAAAATACAGTAGACTAAATGTCTAGTCTTGAATTTTCTCATTGAAAGCTGACTACAATTTAATAAGACATGTTAGCATTCTCGTTTTACAGAGGAGTGCAACTGAGGCCCAGAGAGGCCACTGGTGTTCCCAAGGTCACACAGCAGGTAAAAAGCAGAGCTGGGATTTGAACCTAAGTTACTCAAAGTCTGTGCTCTCAACCACTCTTCTCTCATATCTTCTTTTAATTAAATTTTTGACTAAAGTAGAAATGTATTACTCTCAAATGCAATTTAATAAGGGTTTACTAAACATCTTTAAAGTTCTTTTGGGAATGCTATCTCTCTCTGTCTCTCTGTCTTTCTCTCTCTCTCTCTGCCCCTCTCTCTCCTTTATAGAACCTAAATGTTGTTTCATTACAAAATCAAATATAATAATAAAAATCAGGAGAGGGATTGAGCATATTTATTGAGCTGACTTTCAAAAAAGCAATTTGTATTCAATACATCTCTATGTTGTTCCATCACAAAGTAAATACATTGTTAAAAATGTATGGAAGGGGATTGGGGGATCGCACATAGCTAATGAACAACTTTTACATGAGGGTTTGTATTAGGAAGATCTGTTTTAGATCTTGCTACAACATGAAAAGAGTGAATTACAAGGTGGAGGGCAGCAGCCTGTTGGGGCTGGGGGAGCCCACCTCTGCCTGTGCTGCGAGGCCTTCTCACTAAGCCTGCATTCCTTTGCTGTGCACCTTCATCCCCCAAAGCTTGTTCCAGCCTTAAGGCTCTTAGGAACACATTCATCTTTAGCCTTAGAGTTGCTCAGAGAGCCTTCCTTTTGGTGCTTTCACTATTACTTTTACTTTCACAAATTTTCTGATTTGAGAGGCTTGCCTTTGTTTAATCTTCAGAGAACTTGCCTTTTACCTCCCCCAAATGCCTTTTCATTAATAGCCATACGATCTTGATTGCTTTTGCCCTTTTGATGCACTCTTTTGATCCTCTGGTCTAATACTCAAAATTACCTCTTAACAGTTGCATTCATGAACCAGGTAATGGACCCTTTGTGACACTCCCTTCAACTTTGATACAGGCACCCTCCCCGACACTCACACATTTTTTCACTGAGCCACACTTTCTGACAGGCCTCTGCCTCCTGCCACTGATACTTTGCATTGCCACACGCAGGTTTACACTTTCTTATAAATTCTTTCCTTTTCACGATGTCCTGAGTACGAGGAACCATCTGAGACCCTTTCCTGCTATTCTGACCCCATCCTGGGATTCCCACAGGTAGACAGTGAAGGCAGTCCACACCTGAGAACAGGTCTCATCTTTCCTCTCTTTTACATTCAGAGATTGCCTTGCCACAGCACCTCCATCCCCCTCAGGGCTTGCAGACACTAGACTAGCCAGACACCCTGTATGGGAACTGTTTACTCTTTTCTCATCATGGAGGGGAAAGGAGAGCCTTCAGGAGAGGGGATTTTATGGTGGACTGACCCTCACTTCCCTCCACCCCCAGGAGAAGATAGACTCTCAGTTGGTCCCCACCAAAAGAAGTCAAAAGACCCTAAGAGAAAGCCTGTGATAATACAGGGTGACCGTGGTACCTGGGACAAGGGCACATTTTTTATACCCAATGCTCTTCAGGACTAAAAAAACTTATCTTGGAAAGCAGGAATGAGAATATCCCAAGATTGTCCCTGTTGAAGATGCCACGGTCAGCTGGAGGAAGGCACTGCTTGGTGCATCATGGGGCAAAGCCCCCGCAGAGCAAGGGGCACAAACCCATTGAGGATGTGCAGCCTATACTATTGGGGGGATTACAGGAGACCCAATGGCCCCTTCCCTCAGAGTCCCAAAACATAGGACAGTTGTTAAAGGAAACAACTGCTGAGAGTGAAAGTGTCCGCCATCTATTCATAGGAAACCTGGGGCAGTCTTGGTATTTAGTACATGGGGGTGGGAGAGGTAACACTGATAAAGGAAGGGAGAAGGAGGGAAGGGAGAAGGAAGGAGGAGAGAAGGGGAGATAGAAAGAGGAGAGGGAAAGGAAGGAAGCAGAATACTCAGCTGTAGAAAAGGTCTCATGTATGCAGAGAGGAGATTTTCAACCTGCCATGAGAGTTAAGAATTTAATAACCACATCAGACAAAAGTCACTGAACTAGACTAAACTCTCCAATGGGACTCAAGTTCTATTGTTGGGCAAGATTAAGTTTTCTCTCCTTCCTTTCTCTCCAGTGAGCAGAAATGGGATTCAGAATTATTAGAAGAGATAAAAACCATTCTGTTTGCACCTCATTGAGCTGAGACTCCTCCAACAAATCAACAAATATAAAATCTCAGGCTCTCTGAGCTGGCTGGAATCTGAAGCACAGAGATTTTTTTTCTCTGCCTAGTCCTTCTCCTGGTACCTACCCCACAGCCCCTACATATTGAAGGTGATGGGAACTGAAAAAGACCCAGGAGTTTTTCTAACTTAATTTCAGCATTCACATTAAACACTCTAATTTGTCATACACCAACTTTTCTTTCACCAGCACATTTTCATTTAACAGGACCTTATCTTAATGAGAAAATTCCTAATGATAAAGCAACCTATGTTTGCCAACTAATGTCCTGTGTAGTGAGGCTGACACACTGCTTACACAAAATGATTCGATAGCCTGATTCATTATGTATTTAGTAAGTGTGACACAGAACTTTGTAGCTGGGCACCCCACTGGTTCAGAAGTCTTGTTTGGACTTCATCTTGAGGGGTAGCCTTCTATGCTCATGCAGAGGCAAGCTTTTTACTGGTGACCAAGGTTAACATAGATTTACAGGGGTATGTATTGGTATTTGCTCTTATCCAGCAGGATATTATGTATTTGTGTGATTTCTGTTTTAGTTCCTAAGTCCAGCAACAACTTGGTGTTGTTCAACGTTGTACACACCTCAAGGTGCCCTTCTTTAGGGCGATTTCTTTTCTAAAAGATTCCTCCTTGCACGTTAAAAAACAGATCAGTGATTCTGGCCAAGCTCAGATATGTTAACATTCTCGTTTAAATTCTCATGCTTCTCGGAGTGTTATACTGAGTGTGTGAGTGTGTGTGTGTGTGTGTGTGTGTGTTTGTGAGGGAGAGGGTGGGGAGAGAGATTAAATATACACTCACTGGCATTTCTCATATATGCTTCTGAAGGAAAATCAGAACAGGAAAAGATCTCGGAAAACGGTCATAAATATTTTTGAAATTGCTTCCAAGGTAATTATAACAGGCCCCTTCTCTACTTAAAATGGTTTTAGAAGGTTAATATTTTGTTCTATAATAAAGTCTTTCTCAATTTGGATCTTGTTAGTTTCATTTTGTTAATATTGAGATGTTGTTAGCACTATTTTAAGGTAATAGTCATTTATAATGGGGGAGGAGGCTTACATTTGGGTATCTTAACAGACAATAAGAAGAAAAGGATAAGAAGTGAGAAAAAAAGAAGAGAAGAAACATTTTCCCAAAATAATTGAAAAGAAGCTGAAATAGAAAGAAGAGGATTTTTAAAAGGGTGTGTGTGTGTGTGATACATAGATGGCTTGAGGTGGAAATAACCAAATTGTTCAAAGATAGAATTAACCACCAAGTTACTAAGACGAAAGGCAAAGGAAAATGCTAGTGGAAGTTAAAGGATTGTACTAGACAAGAAATGGAAAAACCAAAAAGTGGTGAAAATAATGGCAAGCAAATAATTCCCTGTACTACCCAGTAGATGGTGCTGTGTACCCAAAGTAGCTGTGTTCCTGCTTAGAAGAGGGAGGAAATAATATGCAGCACATGAATGTAAAATAAAGATGCATAACTGTTGTGCCCGAAAATTCCAGATTTATTCAGGAATTCATAAAACTAGAACTAATTGCTTAATTTATACTTTGAAATAACTTACATTTTCACCTTTGATTCCAAGGGCTGTAGATTGAGGGGATACTTTTCAATATTATTCTCTGCATCCATGGCCAGCTGGTGACTAGAAACAGAAATAATGTCTCAATATCTCCCAATCCAGAAGGTTAACATCTATAGCAATAATACTGCTAATTTATACTTATGTGTAAAATAAGATGTAGATTCAATTTTGTTTATTTTAATTTATTAAAGTTCCTGTTGATGGATGATGGATGAGTAACCATATCATGAAAAAAAAAATGTGGCTTTGACTTTTATTTCTGTTGTCCTTTTGCTGTTCTCAACTAACATTCATAGCTATGGTATGAAAATCATTTCCTTTAAGAGAAAAGAAAAGGAGCATATTGGACAATTTCAGGGGGAGAAAAAACACAAGGATATGGTTATAAATTCCATGATACTGGCCAACTAGTAAGTTGTAGAGAAGACCTTACTCATCCCCAGTAGTACCACTGCCACTGGACCTTTCCTCCTTTCATTTGTAAGCCGTTTCAGGGCTTCCACTGGGAACAAAGCATGGATCTCTGACCTGTAGAAAGGCAGAGGGCTATAGAGAAATGATCACTGCTTTCAGTGAGCTTATAGCACTCTTAGTGCTACAACGATCAAGAAGGGCTTCATGGAGAAGGCAGCTCTTGGGATGAGTTTTGAAGGACGGATAGGAAGTAGGTAAGTTGAGAGTGAAGGGCAACATATGAGGAAGACAATAAAACAAATAGAGGTGAAAACATTCAAAGGATATTTTTAGAAAATAAAGAGAAATTTGGTCGAAGTGGATGAAAAAAATAGGAGAACAAAAGGAAATAGGCTTTGATAAGCAGAAAGCTAATAGTTACTGGTCTCATAATGTGTATAACACACTGTCATAGGCATTTTATGTGCATTATCTTATTTATCACAGTAACTTCCATTAACTAAGTCACTTTCCCCACTGTACAGCTGAAAAATCTGAAGCTTGGAGAGATAATGTTAAATTTACTGTACAGGAGGAACCCCATTAAAACTCACATCTCACTGCTCTCTCCACCAGAAGGCACTGGTTGGAGTATTTTAATATCAGGATTATTAAACTTAATCCCACTGACTGAAGTTTTCATAGGTAATATATTTAACATCCCAATTCAGTACTTGTGCATGTGGTAAGGTAGGGGTGTGTGTGTGTGTGTGCAATAAAAATTTCAAGAAACATTACTCCCCCAACTACATGTGATATACTTTGATTTTTGAATTATATTTGAAACTTTTTTTAAAAGGTCAGTGGTGACCCACCAAATTTATTTAACAAACCATCAATAGATTATGATCTACAGTGTGAAAAGCTTTTCACACTGTAGATCATAATCTATTGCAGCAGGGAGCTCCATGCATTTGGAGCAGGGAAATATGATAAATGGAGGGTTTAAGGATGATTTGTGGTGGGAGTGAGCAAGGAGAGTGACATAAAACTAGTTAGAAAGCTATTCAAATAGTCCAGGTTATGAGGACTAGGAATATGGTGGTAGTAAAGAAAAGGGAAAAAAAGAAAAAAATTGTGCTGGAGAGATCCCTTAGAATCACAAATGTATTTTTTTCTTTTTAGAAAGGAATGTCCTGGCGGTAGGGAAAACATAGGAGAGCACATAAATTCCTACATGACAAGTAGGTGGTGTCAGCACCCCAAGATAGCTTGGGGTTACTCAGCCTGATTGTTGAGGGGCAAGGAAGCACTCTTGTTTACTCTGTGCCATTGGTATTCAGGGTCCATTACTAATTAATTGTTAATCACTCATTCTACACATATATTTAATGTCTCTTGTGTGGCAGGAATGATGCAAAGCATGGAGGATAAAATGGTGAAAACACTAGACATGGTCCCTGTTCCTGTGGTCCCACAATCTAGGAGAACATGAACATTACACAAGTATTTGCAAGTGTGACAGATATTATTAAAGGAGAATCACGGAGGAACCTAATCCTGGGTAGGTGGGCATAGAAAGTGATATGATCTGGCTCTCTCCCCACCCAAATCTCACCTTGGATTGTAATAATCCCCACATGTCAAGGACGAGACCAGGTGGAGATAATCTAATAATTGAATAATGGGGGCAGTTTCCCCCACACTGTTCTCATGATAGTGAGTTCTCACAAGATCTGATGGTTTTATAAGGGGCTTCCCCCAATTGCTGGGCACTCATTCTCTCTCCTGCTGCCCTGTGAAGAGGTGCCTTCTGCCGAGATTGCAAGTTTCCTGAGGCGCCCCCAGCCATGTGGAAATGTGAGTTAATTAAATCTCTTTTCTTTATAAATTGCCCAGTCTCAGGTATTTCTTCATAGCAGTGTGAGAAAGGACTAACACAGAAAGTCTTATTTTTATAATTCTATATATTATATATACAGACTTATGACAAGGATACTTTAAGACTCTTGTTACTTATTAATTACAAATTAAGCAATAAAGTTATATATTGTAGGGCCTGTAGATATGCAACAAAGACAGACCTAATGTTTTCATAAAGAAAATAAAACTTTCATAATATTAACACGTTTGCTAATTTGGGGGTATTATTTATATATCCTCACCAAACTATAAACTACCAATACCTGTTGGTTTAAATCTGATAGCTTTAGTTCATTCCATCAATAATTGTCTGTGGGTAATAAAATGATTACTCCTCAGTACAATGTGTGACTTGCAATCACACATCTCTTACCAGAAACCCAGGCTGATTTAATATTTACAAAAATATGGCAGTCAGCCTAAGGTCTTACTTAAGTTAATAAGTGATTTTCCTAAACAACGGAGTCATAAGTAGCCTTCCAATTAATGGCCTTACCAATTGCTCTTCTCTGTTTATTGGCACATGCCAAGCTTCGCTAAGCTCGTGTGTGTGTGTGTGTGTGTGTGTACACAAATGCACTTGATTGGCTCTGCCAATGGTCTCAGATAGTATGGAGCTGCAGCTTCCCTCCCCTTCACACTAACTGTCTACCACAAAACCCTGTTGAGCATTCAGAATAAATGTAATGTTCCAAGGGGGAATAACCAATCAACTGTTCTGACACCACTATCACTTAACTTATGGTTATTTCAAGTAGCTGAGATGATTTACATCAGCACCTAAGTCAGCTGCAGCTATAACGAAATGCCTAATCTGCTCACTCAAAGTACACCAATTTTTCAATCAAATTTGACAGCATTCAAGGACGTAGTCCTGACCTGAAACAGACCAAAAAAATCTCCAGAATTCCAGGCAAATGGGTATAGTTGTTAGGGCTGGTGGTCACTGCTTGTTTTCTCTCTGTCCTGGACAAGCATGAAAGGAAAGGTTACCCCCATGGGCCCATGTGCTTTGAAGGAAGTATTTAATTCCCATTGCTGGAATTCCTCAATCGGGATTGAAAAAAAATAAGCACACAAAACAAACTGGTCATTTCCAGAAAGTTTTAGCTTTCTCAGTCCTCTGGATAATAAAGCAGAAAGAGTAGGGTGGGGCAGATGGAAACCCACGTATATACCATTAATTTTCAAATATCTTCCTGAGAGAAGACAGTTGAGAAAGATACATGCTGGTGTTAGTGAGAGGTTTAATATAGAATTGTGGTCAGTTAGCAGAACAAAAAAAACTTCATTTCCTACGTTAAGATCAATAATGGGTTGAGCGCAGTGGCTCACGTCTGTAATCCCAGCACTTTGGGAGGCCAAGGCGGGTGGATTACCTGAGGTCAGGAGTTCGAGACCAGCCTGGCTAACACGGTGAAACCCTGTCTCTACTAAAAATACAAAAATTAGCCGGTGTGGTGGCAGGCACCTATAATCCCAGCAACTAAGGAGGCTAAGGCAGGAGAGTTGCTTGAACCCAGGAGGTGGAGGTTGCAGTGAGCCAAGATCACACCACTGCATTCCAGCCTGGGTGACAGAGCAAGACCCCATCTCAAAAAAAAAAAAATCAATAATGAAAAACCAGCATGGCCAGGTTTAATAAATAAATGGGCCAAACATCATACAGAAAGTGTGTCCTTGGAGAATTAAGCTGCATGAGGAGATTATTGAATAAGTGAAATGAGCCTAAAATATATTTTCACTACTGGTTCTCAACCCCAACTCCGTGTTAGAGCTACATGAAGGAAGATGTTAAGAAATACTGATTCCAGGGCCTCATCCCCTGAGAATCTAATTCAATTTTTCTAGAGTGGAGCTTAAGCCAGGGCATTTTTATTAAGCTCCCCAGCTGATTCTAAGTGCAGCCAAGGTGAAAAATAACTGATCTAGACCTAATGTCATTACAACAGTAATCTCTATAAAAGAAAAGTCTTCATTCTACTGTCAGCAAAAAACTCTTTAGTTATTGTTTACATATAGCTATTGACGGTGGTGGTGGAGGGAAATTCTACTATTTTATTCTTATTTATTCATATTAACGAGAGCAGGCATAATAAAAATAAATGAACAGAAACTTCATTTGGTCAAAGGGCTGAAACTTCCTTTCAATCTGATGACATGCCAGATTCTTAGGATCGTGCAGATGGAATGAACCTTTGAGATTGTCTTGCCCAAACCCTTGCCCAGATGGAAAGGAAAGGAGCCAGCATTGAAGGTATCAGGCTATTATGGGCTGTCTCATTTAATGCTCTCAATAAGACTGTCAAGTCAAGACTACTATTCTCATTTTTAAAGATAAGTATAGTGGGGCTCAAGATGGTTAAAAATTTTGTCTGGACTGACAAAGCTAAGAAAGAGTAGAAAGAGGCATCAGACCCAAAGTTTTCAATTTTCCAGGATATTTTTTAACAACATTTCAGATGTATGGTCATTTACACTCTTCTTGGGCACTTCCAGTATCTTATCAGCTACTGGGGCTCAGCACATACTGTAAAGTATGGTGTTTGGCATGCTGAGTTCTTTGAACCGAAGGAGAAAAGGCCTCAGAAGCAAAGTCACTTTCTCTCTGACCTTCTCTTGCCCTTCTGTCCCTGTCCCTCTTTCTTCCATGATGCAAGCCATAAAAACCAGAATTCCTCTTCCACAAGGCAGGTCATAGAAACTAGAACCCTTCTCCCCCAAACAAGCTACAAAAACTAAAAATATTCCTCTAACCTTCCCCTGCTTTTCTGTGTAAAATCTGGTCATAAACAAATTCTCTGACCTACCTAGTCTGACGGAGAGTCCTAAGACCCTCATTCCAGAGGTTCTTGCCCCATGCCCAAGAGGAAGGAATGCTGCACAGAGAGGCCAAGAAGAATCTGAACTGACAGCCTTGCTGGGTTTTCCCATCTCATACAGTAGATCCTTCCTTTTTGTCCAATCACATTTCTACAGGGCTGTCCATTCTTCATCAAAACTAACTATTAAAGTGGAAAATTTCCCTGGTTTTCATTTCTGAAGGATCCCATGTCACATAGAACCCTGAGTAAATAGACCGGCGCGGTGGCTCACACCTGTAATCCCAACACTTTGGGAGGCTGAGTGGGTGGATCACTTGAGGTCAGGAGTTTGAGACCAGCCTGGCAACACGGTGAAGCCCTGACTCTACTAAAAATACAAAAATTAGCCGGGCGTGGTGGCACGTGCCTGTAATCCCAGCTTCTCAGGAGACTGAGGCAGAAGAATCACTTGAACCCGGGAGGCGGAGGTCGCAGTGAGCTGAGATAGTGCCACTGCACTCCAGCCTGGGCAACAGAGTGAGACTCCACCTCAAAAAAATAAAATACAACAAAATAAAGAACTCTGATTAAATAAGCTTGTTGTGCTTTTCTTTTGTTAACCTGTCTTTTGTTACAGGAGTGTTGGCTGTGCTCCTTATAATGAGTGAGGAAAGGTGTGATGCCTTTCTGCCCCTCCACGGCTCACTTCTTAACAAAGTTCATTCTGTTTGGGGGTAGGTTGAACTTTTACAAAAGTTTTTCCTTATCTGAGTCACAATGCTGTTTCTCCATATATCCTACTCATTGACTCTTGTTCTATTTTCTGGAGCACGAAGAGCAACTTAGCCTCTCTTTTATAGGAACATCCTTCAAATGTTTGAGGACAGCTATTACATTTCTTCTGAGACTTCTTTTCTCCAAGCTACACATCCTCAGCTCTTTGTAGTAGTTTCACATGGTTCCAGAACTCTCACAATTTTAATTGACCTCTTCTAATACTCTTGGCAATGTCAATGTGATTCTTAAACGTGGTGTCCAGAGCCAAGCATGACACCCAACCAGCTTGACTAGTCCTGAGTACATTAGGGCTCAGCCAGTGATTGAGAGCAAGGATTCTCGAGGCAACCAAACCCGGGTTTATTTCCCATTCTCACCACTCACTAGCTGAGTATACATGGAGTTGCTGAAACCTCGCTGAGCCTGTTTTTCCTCATCCGTGAAATGGAAATAATAATGCCTATATCAAAAGGCTATAATCAGAATTTGATGAGTCTCTGAGTGTTCAACAGTACAGGGTATATTATAAATATTTACTTTTATCTCTGTTCAATTTCATCTCTTCTTTTTTGCTTTATTTTAGCTCAGTTTTGTCCCATTCTGTAGTGTTAATTTGAATGTTCAGTCTGTTAGTCTTAGTGTTAGCTTTGCACTTTTTACAAATTTTATGCCTGCCTTCTACAAATGTCCCTGATTAAAAGACTAAGACAGGTCAGAGTTAAGTTTCAAGCCCTCAGACATACCACCAGAAACATCTTCCAGGCATCATATTACTCTGTTAAGCAGTAGAGCTTGTTTTTCATTGCTCAACTAGTCATACATTTATCTACCTATATCTCAAATGAGCCACATTTCTGGGCTCTGACCACAATGATAACATAAGAAACTGTCCAATTTACTTACTTATTTTTACCAGAAAGATTTTCTTTTTACTCAAGCTTTCCAACCTTGCAGATGATTTAACTTAATACTTTTTACTTACTTTTCAAATGAATATTTTCCATCATTAACTTGTTCTAGAGGATTCTGCAATCTTTTCAGTTCTTCCTGTGAAAAAGAGAAGATATATCTTACAAATTGTCACCAGCTACTTCCGAGCAATGCTATTCAAGCATAACTGTTAGCAAAATTGATACAACACAACATTAAGAGTTCTGGACTGCACTTTGGGAGGCCGAGGCGGGTGGATCACGAGGTCAGGAGATCGAGACCATCCTGGCTAACACGGTGAAACCCTGTCTCTACTAAAAATACAAAAAAATTAGCCAGGCATGGTAGCAGGTGCCTGTAGTCCCAGCTACTTGGGAGGCTGAGGCAGGAGAATGGCGTGAACCCAGGAGGCGGAGCTTGCAGTGAGCCAAGATTGCGCCACTGCACTCCAGCCTGGGCGACAGAGTGAGACTCCATCTCAAAAAAAAAAAAAAAAAAAAAGAATTCAGGACTTTGTGATGGTTAAGTGTTTAAACACACAAAAATACAACATGATCCTTGATCAAGTTAGAATATAATATTGTCACTCAAATTGTGTGACTTTTTTTTTACTCACTAATGTTTCCTATCAGTTTTTCAGAATTTGGATATGTTTACATAGATCCACCCACACTCTTTCCAAATTCACTTTCTCAACAGTATTGTCATTGCTGGTTGCTGGGTAAGAGACTCTAATGACTGCATGCTGCATTTGGCCATTCAGCAACCCTTCTCTCTTGTCTCTTAGTAACTCGTGGCAACCTCTTCTCCATAGCCCACGTGCTCAGACACACACATACACACACACACGATCCCTCAATTCCAGGCATTTGTAGTCTCTGTAATCTCATTTCTCTGGCCACAGAGGTGTGACAGGATGTGGCCCAGCTTCCTGGTGAGACTCCCTTCTTCAGTCTTATCAATCATGGCAGGATTTAAGGAAGACTCGCAGAACTCTGTTCCTGGGAAGACCACCATTCCCTGAGGCCACACTATCTACCATACCATTTACCACACCACTTACCCCCCACCAGAAATTGTCAAAGTGACCAGTCCCAAGGGGAAGGCGCAGTTAGAAATAATTATTCAATTACATCCAAAAGACCATCAGGACTAGCCTCTACATGATTATAACCCACCAGACACCCAAGTCTCCTAGATCACCTCTCCCATTATGCAATCTCTTAAACCCATACTGCATTCCAGAATGTGGCCTAATCACCCACTTCTCCCCAATCCTTCCAACCTTTCCAGTGGGTCCTTTACAGTCTGTCATCAGCAAAATCCTGTATCTCCCCAACTTCTTTGAATATACCCTTAATTATGTTGTTCTAACTAAACTATGCCTCACTATTCTGGGACAGCTAAGTTTTTGTTAGAGCAGGAAGAGCAAAGAATTGTTCAGAAAAGAGGTCTAGTATATAGAGGATTTTGCAGATGAAAAAGTTGGCTGAGTCCCTGAGCCCACCTTCTCCCCTGCAGTCCTCTTAAGAGATGGCCATTTCTTCCCCACGTGCTACATACTACATGGTGTGGAGGTTGAGTGGGACCCTCTTTGCTCCTCATTGCTGTTTTCAGATCTTCCCCACTCCTACAAAACCTCTGGAAACATGCCAGCTGCCAGTCCCAGCCATCTGTCCTCTTCTCTATCTATCCTAACTCTTCAGGGGATCTCAGCCAGTCTCACAGCTTCTATTTTACATTTGTATCTGATCTCTTCTCTAAACTTCACTCTTCTACTCGAATATGATATCCACCCTGCCTACTCGACAGTTCCATGTACATGTCTGACAAGCATGTCAAGCTCAAAACCAAAATGTTGATTTCTCTGCTCATACCCTCCTACCCAAGCCTCCTTCTTCACTGCTTCTTCCTCATTTTAGCAAATGGTATCACTATTCACCAAGCTATGAAGAGTTAAACCTAAGAACCAGACTTTACTCATTTCTTCCTCTTACCATTTATAGTCAATCAATGAGCTAATCTTATTGACCCCACTTTCAAAATATATTTGGAACTTGGCCACCTCTCAGTCTGGTCTAAGCCAACCATGGTAATCTTCTAATTATTGCCCTGCTTTCTAGGTTAGGCTACATCAGTCACTTCTCCATATAATAACCTGAGTGGTCTTGTAGTACCTGGGTTTTCTTTTTTAATTGGAGTATAATTTACAAAGTATGAAATGCACCTTATAAGTGTACAATACAGTGAGTTTTATCAAATGCTTCCATTGGTAGAGTCACAGCCGAAACAATATATAGAACATTTATCATTCCCAGGAAGTTCCTTTGTTCCCCTTTACAATCAATTTTCCTCTCCCAAAGGCACCCCTGTTCTGATTTCTATCTGTGTAGATTAGTTTTGCCTGTTCTAGACTTTCGTATAAATTTATCTATTCTTTTGTGTCCAGCTTAATTAACTCAACATTATATTTTGACATTTGTCCATGCTGTCTGTTGCATGTATCAATAGCTCATTTCTTTTTATTGCTGAGTAGTTTTCTATTGTACACATACACAACAATCCATTCTCCTGTTAATGGGCATTCTAATTGTGTTCATATCCATATGGCCTAGTATGAATAAAGCTGCTATGATCATTGCTGTGCAAATCTGTTTGCACAACAAGTCTGTTGTGCAAGTGTGTTTGTGGATGTGTTTTCATTTCTCTTCAGTAAATATCTAGGAGTGAAATTGCTACCTCATGAGGTAAATACATGTTTAACTTATAAAGAAACTTCCACAGTTTTCTAAAGTGGTTGTGCTATTTTATATTCCAACCAGCAATGTAAGAGAAGTCTAGCTGCTGTACATTCCCACCAATATTCAATGTCAGTCTTTTTCACTTTAGTTATTCTCCTGGATTTGTGATATCTTATTGTGATTTCAATTTGCATTTCTCTGATAACTAATAATGTTGAGTATTTTTTGCATTTGTTTTTAACTGAGTTATATGTCTTATTTTTTGAGCAGTAGAAATTCTTTATATATTATGGGGTACAACTCTTTTGTCAGATGTATGTGTTGCTAATATTTCTTCCCAATCAATATATTTTGACAAGCAAATCTTTTCATTTTGATGCAATATAATTTATTGTTTTACTTTATTTTTGTTATTTAGTATTTTCTGTGTCCTAATAAATATTTTCCTGCCCCCAAATATAGTCTCCTATATTTTCTCTTAGAAAATGTATAGTTCATTTACATTCAGGTGTATGGTCAATTAATTTTTGGGTATGGTGTGTGGTAAGAATTGAGATCAATTCTTCTTCATATGAATATGAGCATAAGTCTACTAAATGGGGCTTCCATATAAACTATTGTTTTTCTGATACCAAAAAAAAAAAAAAAAGATTCAGCTGGCATGTGGCTTTTAATGTTTGGTCTTCCTTCTTCTTCCTGCCTGGATCATAGTAGTGAAATCCAGGGTGCAAAAGCCATTGTGCCTATAAGGAGGAAAACCACACATTAAAGATAATAAAATAGAAAGACCGAAGGTACCTGGGACCCTGATGAAACCATGGAGCTGCTGCTTCAACTCTGATCTACCAACATCTGAACATGCTTGTCATGCAAGATCAACCTACTAATTTCTTGATTCATCATAGTTAAACAAATATAGATAAGTGATGTTTTCTTCTTCATAATTCAGTGGTTTTCCATCACTTTTGGAATGAAATCCAAACTCATCACCATGGCCTATAGAGCCGTATGTAACACGAACCCCCACCTATCTCTCTGACCTCATTTCCTGCCACCCTCTATACTACAACCCACACTTGTCTAGCCATATTGGTCTTGGGGTGTTTCAGAAACAGCCACGGTTGCTCCCTTTTAGATCATTTATCTTCGCTGTTCCTTGTACACAGAACATTAATTCTGTGCACAATTACAATCAACATTACCCTCACATGGCTTCCTCACTTCATCCAGATATTTGCTCAAATACTGCCTTCTCAAAAAAGCCTCCCTTGATTGAACTCTCTAAAATGTCACCCATCACTTGTGGTATATTTACCATGCTTTATGCTCTTATTCACTTCTTTATGACCTTCATCACTTCCTAATGTATTTGTGTTTGATTGTCTCCACTCACTACATTGTAGGCACCATGGAAGTAGGTTTTTTGTCACATCCACCACTATATTTTCAGTGCCTAGAATAGTGCCCAGCACATAGTAGTTGCTCAACCAATGTTAATTATTTAAACTTTACCTTAGGATTTGGAGAAGAACTTCAGTTTATTCCTCTGGATTCTGGAGTGTTAGGATTTTGAAATGTGAGGGACACTGGAACTGTGACAGAAGTATTTGCATCTGTGACAGGTACTAACTGAAGGAAAAATATAATACAGCAAAGAGGATGGAGACAAAGGAAAAAGAGACAAAAGGCCAGAGCCAGGGTGATGCTGTGAACATCTGTTTCAAACTGGAGCTTGAAACCAGCACATTGATGGACTTTTAAGTTTCATTCTACTTATTTTTTATTTTATTTTATTTTATTTTTATTTTTTGAGACAGAGTGTCACTCTGTCACCCGGGCTGGAGTACAGTGGTGCGATCTCGGCTCACTGCAACCTCCACCTCCCAGGATCATGTGATTCTCCTGCCTCAGCCTCCCGAGTAGCTGGGATTACAGGCACCCACCACCATACCCAGCTAATTTTTTGTATTTTTAATAGAGATGGGGTTTCACCATGTTGGCCAGGCTGGTCTTGAACTCCTGACCTCATGATCCGCCTGCCTCGGCCTCCCAAAGTGCTGGGATTACAAGCATGAGCCACTGCTCCTGGCCAGATTCTCTCACTTTAAAAAAAACACTTTCAGTTGGGGTTTCTGTTTTGTTTTGTTGTTGTTTTTTATACAAGTAAAAGAATCCTGAGAAGTTACCATGTGAGCCATAACCTAGGACTAGTGAATACAAAATTCTAAGATGAGCCATAGCATTATAAAAGTTCAGAACTAAGCTGTTGTTTGCTTGCTTTGTTTTGGCCATGTCTTTTAAAATGTCTTTTTCAGAACACTGACGGGGCCGGGTGCGGTGGCTCATGCCTATAATCCCAACACTTTGGGAGGCCAAGGTGGGTGGATCCCTTGAGGTTAGCAGTTCAAGACCAGCCTGGCCAACAAGGTGAAACCCCCTCTCTACTAAAAAGTACAAAAAAATTAGCTGGGTGTAGTGGTGCACTCCTGTAGTGCTGGACCTCGGCCTCCCAAAGTGCTGGGATTACAGGTGTGAGCCACAGTGCCTGGCCGTGAATTACTTTTTATGTATGTTGTGGTGAGGTAGGGATTGAGATCTATTATAGAGTGTCTATATAAAACACTGGATCTCTTTTTTATATAATGGAATTAAAGAGAAATACAATTTAGAATTTAGTAGTAGGGTATATTTGCCCCTTTTGATGTAATAGTACACTACTTTTCATCAATAATAACAACTCATAAGTCTTAACGAGGTCATTTGTTTTGCTTTGGCTGGTAGAAGCTTAAGCAAAATTAAATATTTAATTGCCACAAGGATTCTTTTTAGGCAGTTAGAACAATCATTGCCCACCTCTTTAACTACATGATCTATAAACATCTTTATTTTTAACTCTGTTATTACATTTGTGATATTCATAGTAAGTGAAAGCTAATATCTACCATATAGGCAGAGTAATTATAATAGGTAGAAATATAGAGATGATAGATGATAGATAGATAGATTATCCTTTGCAATATTTAACATGTCATTTTATTTTTAGGGTAAAACTTACTCTTTAGTCCTATAGACTCTGGTTCCATATTCTAAGAATAAGCCTCCACATTTATCCCCTATTTTCCCCTACACTTCCTACCTATTTTTTTTAATCATATCACACCCCACCTCCAATGACATAAGTAACAGATCTAGGTCATATATTGTCTCGTGTTGCTTAATAACAAGGATATGTCCTGAGAAATTTGTCATTAGGAGATTTCATCATTGTGTGAACATCAGAGTATGCCTACACAAACCTAGATGGTATAGCTTACTACACACCTGGGCTATGTGATACAGCCTATTGCTCCTGGGCTACAAACCTATAAAGCATATGTTACTGTAAGAAAATTATAACACAATGGTAAATATTTGTATATCTAAACATATCCAAATCTAGAAAAAGTACAGTAAAAATATTGTATTGCAACCTTTGTAATGTTATGTTGTTATGGGTTGTATATGTGATCAATATTGGCCAAACGGCATTATGCAGTGCAGGACTGGAAATGGTCAAACTTGAAGCTGCTCTGATACAGAAAGGAAATAGTTTGAATGAGAAATCTTAACTATTCTTAAAAACCAAAGGTTAATTTTTAGGTTGTAATTTTTTCTTCCCCCTGCATCATGATTAGAAAAGAAATGGAGCTACTGCCAGTCCTGGCACTTTCTTCTCCAAGATGTGGCTGTGGTATGCTTTCTTCTATTTTTTTTTTCTCTGGGGACTTAGGGGGCATAAAGAAAAGCATTTTTGCAATTTGTGCCAGCCACTCTCCTTTCCTTGAATATTTCATTGCAGAAAGCTTGCTGGGTGGGGAGGGCTTTGATGCAGTACTTTATTCAATATCTGACTATCCACATTCTAGGAAATCATATTAAACATAAGGTCAATGACTAACAAGAGCTTTCTGAGCAGCTGCTCTGCTGACAATTTGGAGGATTGATTTCATCATTTGGTTATTTAAGCTAGCTATACAAAAACACTTCAATTCAATTGGCCTGGAAGTTCCAAACCATGTCCTCATTTTCTCAGAGATGGATAAGCAAGTCATGTTACTCCACAGATCTTCACTCATAGTTTCATCCTTTGAGAAAGCTTTGTTTTATTTTACTATTAAAAGCAAACACAAATAGATCTACCCCATCATTGGTTTCTCTTGCTAGTCCCATTTGTCTCTGATTTTATATCTGGCAATATCATTTTCTTACTAGAAGACAATGCCATTTTTCTACTAGCTCCCTGTTGCTGTCAGGTTAGATTCCAAACTCCTCAGCCAAGGTCTGTGTGACAAAGCCCAGCCTGCCTCTCCCCACTCCACCTCATTGGCCCCTGCACACACTTCTTCTCTGAGCCCAGTCAAATGATTCATAACAAAATCCCAGAACTCACGTGCCCACTGGACATTTCAGTGACAACATGCCTCTAACTCTTCTACTGATCCACACCATTCTTCTTTCGGGAAGACCCCAATTTTCCCCTCCTTCAAGCAGATATTTCTAACCCAAAAAGAAAGTTGGGTACCCCACCCTCCTTCCTCAGCAACCTCTGGTGATCCTTATTTTTAATATTTACTCTTTACCTGCCTCCCCCACTCAGCTCTTCAAGGTCAGGGATGGTAACTTACTCACTTTGATGTGCTTATTCCCAAAATGAGTTATTGAAGAGGTGCTTGATATTATCTGTTGAATAAGTAAATGTGTTATTCTAAGAGGAAAAGAAACTTTAGTAGCTTAATGGCCCAAAAAATCCCAAGTAGTTTTATATCGTCTGCTATTGTCTGCCTGTCAGATACAGTCTTTACTCTTCTCCATTCTTCCCTGTGTCTGAGAGGCTCATAATTTTGGACTTTATCTATTAGACCCTTTATTCTATGGCCCTGGGGAATGTTTGAGCAGAGGGAGGCACTGGCATGAGCCCAGAGGGTAGCAGAAGAAAGAAGTTGAATATTTTTTCTCTCTGTTCTCCTCTCTTGCTGGAGCACGGTTGGACATAACTAATGGCCATAGTTTCCATAGAGTGGCCTTTCCCACAAGATAGTGCATATTCCCATAACTGCTCCATTTTCTCACCCCTCCAAGACCTACCCTTCCTTCCTCTCCCTTCCTTTGCCCCATTCAACTATTGATAACCCCAGATGCTTCCTTCTTCCTTGTGGCTTCTCCTCTACTCTGCCACAACTATGTAAATAGTCACTTCATTAAACTCTCAGTCGTCCTTTTACATGAGTTGTCTCTGAATCCAGAAACTTCAAGAACCCTAAGTTTCTTTTGTTTGCCCTGTCTTTGCAATTCTTTTTCTATAAACCAATAAACTTAACTAATCATATTAATTAATCATATTATTTACCAGAAGAACATGTGTGTTTGATAATTAATCTTTATAGGAGAAGCTGTCACTACTCAAGGACCTGAACCTGGTTCGGTTAGACTCACCAAATAACAGGACAATTTCTACTATGCTCTATTTGCTTCTTTTCTTTTAAATGTAGGCTAGACCTCTCTGCAAAATACAAGTTGAATTATTCAAGTACAATCCAGACACACAGCATTCCAGAATCCTTAATCCCATTTCTCCAAATGAAGTCTGTGTTATGAGTGGCAAAGGAATCTAGGCTATACTGTTATGGTGAAAAATTACTGACTACTTCCCAGGCTTCCCACTGTTATAAGAGTTGTTCTAAAGTAACTTGGGTGTGAACTATTAGAATGAATGGTGGGTATTGAATTTTGTTCTTTTGTGTCTGGCTTTACCCTCCTGTCTCAATCCCGCAGTCTTTTCTTCTGTCACAGACAGTGGAATAGCTAAGAGGTTAGACAAGCCCATCACTGTGGCTGCTTAGTCAGCTCCTTGACCTGCCCAATAATAAAACACTGTTCTGGTTTGTTTTTTATTTTTCCTCCTTTTTCAATCTCGACCACTTCTATTGTCTAAGCAAGCAGCGTATGTTCTTTGGACAGGTTTAAAATCAGAAATCCAATCAAAATTGCTTTTTCTCTAAAGTACACTTGTTCACTTGTTTCTAAATGCCAACCTTTTAACTTTTCTGACTAACATCATGATCATTTAATCCCAACATATCCCAGAGCATTTAAGTTAACTTAAAATGTGAAAACAATCTGCAATTTACTTCACTGTGTAGCTGTGGGTGACAAAACCTGTGCCACTTACATAAATCAGGTTTTTGTGTCTTGGAAATAATTATATATTAACCTAAGGGCAACTATTTAACAAAAATTAAAAACCAAAATCACTTTTGATGCTTTTGACCATTCAATAATTTCATTATATATTACCAGGCTTCCTCACCTGCTCCCCTCCATCCGTTTTTTAATGGAAGTGTAATAAGGGCACTAAAAAAGGGGTTACTAATGTTTGCATAATTTGGAAAAGTAGAAGACATAAAATCTATAGTAATTTTAACTCTGCATCATTAAACATGAAATATTGATTATTGCTCTTTGCAACAGAATTTATGAAGCTAGCTAGGCTGCTGTGTCCACATTAAGTGATTCTGATGCTTTGCCCTCGGACCTCAGTGGCTGTAAATGATGCTCCCTGGTGACAACTGGGAGGCTGGCATTCTGATCCACAGCCTTAAGAGATACATTTCCCAGATTAGACCAGGAATGACCCAGCTGCACAGCCCAACTTCAGAAAATTAAATTGGAGGGAGTCCAAACCTCTGTTGAAATAACTGTGTGAATTACAATGCTTCCACAGGCCTTGTTATAATGTAAATGTGCTTTACAATTTACTGCCACTTCCCTTCTATCCCTGCTGTGAATATGGGCATTAATAGTCATCTCATATATTTAGAGGCAAAAAGGCATCAAAAATAAAAATGCAAGATTCATGTATTCTCCCTTTGGAAAGCAAGGACTAAATTCCTTGGTTTTTTTTTTTTTTTTTTCAAAAGGAGCATACATTTTGTTTATGTATTATGCATTAATGTTTTCTATGGCTGGCAAACCTGTAAATTTCACACAGGGAAGTTACCTTGCAGCTAAACACGAATTTCTTTAGGAGGAAAAAAATGGCAAATAGGACATCAACAGCTCATTTAAAGGATTCATTCAGTTAAGTTATGGTCACATGAAGCATACATGAGGTAGTAGACTTAAAAAGATATTTGCCTGTTTCTAACACTTTAAGGACATTTTGAATGTCCAACGAGATTCAGAGGGACTGTGATCTTACAGCAGTAATCACTGAGTGAGGTAGTCCTAGGCCTTACTACACTTGTCGACAGTGGACTTATTATTAACATTAGCTGCCTTCTACATTGTAAACTTAGAAACTTACAAACATAAGATATGCCTATGAAAATTGAAAATTGTTGTGATAGCTCATTGTTCTTGTTTGACCAACCAGACTACGTTCATAAACATTATTAGGACATAAAAGCTTTTGCTGCCACATGCGAAAATGTCAAACACCCGATCTAAGTCGAAACATAGCAAGTACAAACCTAATTTGGACTGGTTAAGTCATTGTCCCTGGTAACCTTGGATCTGAGATAATTTCAGTCCCTGAGATCCTCCAAGAGTAGAAGGGTACTTCTGGAAGGGTACACTTACAGCTAGATCATTCAAGCCAGCTCTTTGCCCTAATCTGAATAAGCACCAGCAAACTGCAATCCACTCGCACTGGATCCAGGATTGTTAGACAGGATAAGCCAGCCCAGTGCTATTTTGAAAAATACCCTTCAGGCTTAAATATTCCCCTCTCCTTTCCATAAGTAGTACATGGTCTCAAAACTTTTGCTAGTTTTAGATCATGACATTCAAAAACTATCATTATAGAATGAAGAACTGGCTCATTACAAAATGTCTAACCACTTCCATTAAATCTAGGATACAAGAAATTGAAACACTACTAGTAAAATTTTTTAAGTGGTCTCTTTGCTCAATGTTAATTCAGCTTAACAGCAGGACAACTATAAAAATTCAACTGAGATCAAAATATAGGTATAGGCACAAGAGTGTAGATATTTTTACATTTCATGTATTTCTGCCTTCTGAGAAAATTATCCTAGAGACCATGCTTCAAGATGAGAACACAAGTACAAATAAGCACAGAAGCCAACAAATAAACACCTCTCAGAAAGCAGACAGAATAGCAAATGTGGATACGTGAATCCATACACCAACTCTGGGTTTCTTGCACCAAAGCACAAAAAAAAAGTGCAGGCAATCAGAACAACATGTAACTCCCAAATTGTTTATACCTGATTCTGGAATGCATTTTGTTGTAGTGTAGCAAACACCATCCAGATTAGATTTTTTTGCTTAGCAGGGTTAGAAAGTGAGTTTGCATTTCTTATGTATTTACTAAGTGATGTTGTGAAGAAGCAATCCAAATGCATGCTGGTAAGAGCTCCTAAAATGCCCTGCAGCCCTTCATACCGATCTATCTCCCCCTTTCTATCCCCTCCACTACCACCCTTGTTCAGGGCCTTGATTCTTCTCTCTGGGACTATTTCATTGTGCTGCCTAATTGCTTTTCTTTAAGTACATATTCAACAATTTAAAACATTATTTTTATTATTGTAGAGACAGGGTTATACAGGCTGGTCTCTATCTCCTGGTCTCAAGCAATGTTTTTGCCTTGGCCTCCCAAAGTGCTGGGATTACAGGCATGAATCACCGTGCCGGGCCCATCTCCAATAATTTAACTCTTCTGCTCATAAACACTACTGCTAACTTAAACAAAAACAATCTTCGGGATTAAAAACATTCCTAACTCCCTAGCCACAGGATTGCTTCTCTTATACCTTCTGAAATTCTTCAAAATTCATTTGAAATGTGATTTTATATATTTTAGTATTTCCTTCTGCAACTAATTCTATGTCATTTCTTTGAACTATTTTTATTACTACTAACATTAATTGAATTTTACTAGGCTCCAGGCATGTTGCATGAATTATCTCTTAAAAATTATCACAGAAGCCTTATAAAAATAGCAAAATATGCCATTATTATTCCCATTTCTTGGATAAGAAAACATACCTAGGAGAATAAGTAACTTGTCCAAGGTCTTATAGCAGAAATGAGGTGCCAATATAATAAGCAGTCTGATCCCAGAATCTAAACTGTATCATCTGCACTCTTTTCCCATGAATGACTTGGGACTTACACCAGTGTGAGTAGCAGCAGTATCTCACTCATGGCATTTGTAAAGAAGTTGTAATGTTCTGCAAACTGCTCGGATTTATCATTTAAATTAGATGCGTCATCTAATTACTGTCTGATCTTAGAAAGCAACTCCTTCCATTTAGATCTCAGTTTCATCATGTGTAAGATGATGATGGCAATGCCTCCTATACAATACTATGTGGGGATTAACTAAAATAACATATTTAAAGGTGTTTTGTGTACTCTAAAGTGCTGGTCATCCACAGAGAGATTCCTTAAGTGTCACACCAAGGATAGCAATTATGTCTTACTTGTCTTGTCATTCCTGTGGTGTCCAGCTCTGCTCCATTCCTGTGTAATCTTGGGCTGTGTGACTCCTTTGAGCCTCAGTTTTATCATCTGTAAAATGGGGACACTAATTGTACCAAATTTCAAAGCTTGATGATTAAAAATTCAGTCTTGCACCAGGCAAATAGCAGGTGCTCGATGACATTAGTTATTTTAACTATCACACAGATTTTTATTATTATGTATCTCAGACTCTTCAAAACATGGATGTTAACCTAAGTATCCTCCCCTGGCTCACTCTCAACCCATTTCCCATTAGTTACCCAGTTTTGCCAAATGGCCTCTGGAACACCATCTATTCTACTTTCCTTATTTGAAGACTTATTGCCTGCCAGAAGGAGCAACCTGAAATGCCAAACTCATCAGGACAGTCAACTCCTTGGAACCTTTCTTGACCCCCCTCACCTAGCAGATAGAGCCTAAGCCCCTGGGCCTGGCAGGACTTCATACCAAGTTCTGTGTGACATGCCCTCTCTTTCCATCCCCAACCGACTTAATTCTCTTGGAACATAAACGTGTCATCAAAACCCAGAATGAGATCATGAACTCAAAAACTTGGGATGACTCAGTCCAGATGTGGGTTCAAAAAAAATCGATAAGAGAGTCTTTTAAAAAAGAAAGAAAAGGTTAGTAATATATTGCAGTGTCTATATTATCATTAAATAGCGCAGCATTACCTCAATTATCTGGAGAGCAGTCTCTAGGAGAGCATTATATATTGGAACAAATCTCTATACCTGGATGTTAAGTCCTATCTGTCCCAGAAGATCTGTCACACAGCTCTCAGCCAACCCCCACCTATTTTACCTGAAAGTTTTCATTTAAAGTCCTCTTTAGGAATGATTCTTTCCCACACAACAATAGTGGGAGACTTTAACACCCCACTGTCAATATTAGATCAACAAGACAGAAAATTAACAAGGATATTCAGGACTGGAACTCAGCTCTGGACCAAGTGGAACTAACAGACATCTACAGAACTCTCCACCCCAAATCAACAGAATATACATTCTTCTCAGCACCACATAGCACTTACTCTAAAATTGACCACATAATTGGAAGTAAAACCCTCCTCAGCAAATGCAAAAGAACAGAAGTCATAACAAACTGTCTCTCAGACCACAGTGCAATCAAATTAGAACTCAGGATTAAGAAACTCACTCAATGAGCTGAGATCACACCACTGCACTCCAGCCTGGGTGACACAGGGAGACTCCATCTCAAAAAAAAAAAAAAAAAAAAAAAGAAAGTCTCTCAAAACGGCACTACACGGAAACTGAACAACCTGCTCCTGAATGAGACTACTGGGTAAATAAGGAAATTAAGGCAGTAATAAATAAGTTATTTGAAACCAATGAGAACAAAGACACAACATACCAGAATCTCTGGGACACAGCTAAAGCAGTGTTAAGAGGGAAATTTATAGGACTAAATGCCCACAGGAGAAAGCAGGAAAGATCTAAAATCGACACCCTAACATCACAATTAAAACAAGAAAAGCGAGAGCAAACAAATTCAAAAGCTAGCAGAAGACAAGAAATAACTAAGATCAGAGCAGAACTGAAAGAGTTAGAGACACAAAAAAATCCTTCAAAAAAATCAATGACTCCAGGAGCTGGTTTTTTGAAAAGATCAACAAAATAGATAGACCACTAGCCAGACTAATAAAGAAGAAAAGAGAGAAGAATCAAATAGACATAATAAAAAATGATTAAGGGGCTATCACCACTGATCCCACAGAAATACAAGCTACCATCAAAGAATATTATAAACACCTCTATGCAAATAAACTAGAAAATCTAGAAGAAATGGATACATTCCTGGACACATACACCCTCCCAAGACTAAATCAGGAAGAAGTCACATCCCTGAATAGACCAATAACAAGCTCTGAAATTGAGGCAGTAATTAATAGCCTACCAACAAATAAAAGCCCGGGACCAGACAGATTCACAGCCGAATTCTACCAGAGGTACAAAGAGGATCTGGTACCATTTCTTCTGAAACTATTCCAAACAAATAGAAAAGAGTGACTCCTCCCTAACTCATTTTATGAGGCCAGCATCATCCTGATACCAAAACCTGGCAGAGACACAACAAAAAAAGAAAGTTTCAGGCCAATATTCCTGATGAACATTGATGCAAAAAACCTCAATAAAATACAGGCAAACCAAATCCAGCAGCACATCAAAAGGAACGATTCTTAAACAAGCTTAATTTTATTATTTCCTAGCTTGCAGGAAATAAAAGAATTCATAAGAATGTGATTATCAGAAAACAAGAATGAGATAAGGTGATCACAGATTAGATGTGGGGGGAAGAAACAAGAAACTAAAAACCAGATCCTAAACTGTATTTTCACTGAACACATATATAAAGATTTCTACTGTCTGGAATGTCATCTCCTCTTGAAATGTCTCCAAGTTTCCTCATTTGATGTAAGCTTTCACTCCCTGAACTCTTACAGCTGGATGTGGCTATGCTGGGTAGAGCCCTTATGTTGCCCATATAAGATGCCTGGTTCTCCTTACATAGCCTAAATGTTGGGAGCAGAATCTTTTTTCCCATTAATTCTAAATATCTTTCTAACTTACAAACCCTGCTTTGGCCAACTGGGGCGTGCCAGCTTCAAACTAGGAGTATGTGGAGCTTGTGGTCAGGCATACATCTTCCCAGAATATCAAGTTTACTTCATGAACAGCAAAAGCGTGATTTCAAAATGTAGTACAAAGTTTGAATTAATTTTAGAGCTAAAATAGGAGGCCTCAAATAACATTTAGGTTTGAATATGGCTATTTTTCCTACACACCCCCAACAATAATACACATAGTCACTATTTTCTGCCTTTGAGATTTCTGGGTGGAGAAGTTGACAAACACTACCCTGGATAAGACAGAAAGTGAATATCGTGTAATTTTTAAATTAATATGGCTAGAAAGTATGTAATAGTATGAGTTCTATTTACAATGGATAAAGTTTTTAAAAAAGTACTTGTGAAGGTAGCATTCTTCTTTTAAATGCCATAGGCCTTTATTATATTTCCTCATCGCTTGTCAGGGAGGAAGGTGAAATCCATCTATGTCTAATGCCTTCTTTCTGTGTGAGATTGTATGAAGCAGGCATCACTGTTTAGGGAAGGGAAAGCTTACTTCTACACTTGATTGCTTATCAGACCCAGTAGATGCTGGGTTTTCTGAGCTTGTATTATAATCTCCTGGATACATCAAGTATCATAAATTTTAGCATCCAGCATAATTCTTAAGTGCATACAGCAATAACTTAAGTGTTAAGAGGAATATCCAATAGATATTCATTAAAAATATCAAAAAAGACACATGCACTTGTATGTTCATTGCCATGCTATTCACAATAGAAACGACATGGAATTAACCTAGCTGCCCATCAGTGATAGATTGGATAAAGAAAATGTGGTGTATACACATTATGGAATACTACACAGCCATAAAAAAGAATGAAATCATGTACTTTGTAGAAACCTAGATGGAGTTGAGGCCATAATCCTAAGAGAATTAATGCAGGAACAGAAAACCAAACACTACATGTTCTCACTTGTAAGTGGGAGCTAAACATTAAGCATACCTGGACATAAATAGGTACAATAAACACTGCAGATTATAAGAGGGTGGAGGTAAGGAGGAGAAGGACATGGGATGAAAAAGTACCTATTGGTTAGTATGCTTACTAACTGGGTCCAATATACCCATGTAACAATCCTACACATGAACCCCCTGTATCTAAAATCAAAGCTGAAATTTAAAAAAAAATTAACAAAACTGTGGTTGAGGTGGCAAGTAATTTTAACCCGGAAAAAGGAAAAGAAAAAGAGGAGGAGGGGAAGGAGGGGGAGAAGGAGGAGGAGCGGGGAGGAGGGGGGGAGGAGGATGGGAGAGGAGGAGGAGGGGGAGGAGGAGGGGGGAGGAGGGGGAGGAGGATGGGGGAGGATGGGGGAGGAGGAGGGGGAGGAGGAGGAGGAGGAAGAGACTTTGGGGTTGAGTAGAAGCCACAACACAGAAAGCATGAAATTAAAAACAGAAGTTGAGAAAGAACATGAAAAAAAGGGCCACAAGCAAGAAAACTTTTAGTCATTTAATCATTGTTCCATTCATTGTTTAACAAAAACGTAATCAAGTGTTAGACACTGTGCTATGGATGGGGCTGCAATGGCCGAAGGGGAAGCTATTAAGAAGACACAGCCCCTGTCTTCCTGCAGCCTGAAAGGCCCAATATAACCAGAGCGAAGGAAAGGAGTTGCTGAAGACTATTTCTATGCAAAAACTGACTTAAACATTTTGACATTCAGGACAGAATGAGATCAAAGAAGCCTGACTGTTATATGCATGACAATGGAGCTTGAAAGTGAATATTCTAGATAGGGCCAAGAAAAGGCTAAGAGTGGACCCATGTGCTCACCGCTGGGGAGTTGCTCCTTATTGGCCGACTGGAATGGCATGCCTGTGTGCAGAATGTGGAAAGAGTGATAGAAATGCCACCAAAGTTAAAATGTAAAGTTCCAGGGTGTGGAATAGAGGCTTGTTCAGTAAAAATGGCATTTATTGTCAGAGACAGAGACAAGGCAGGCAGATAGACAAGAAAACAAAAGACTGTGGCCAAATCTGCTTTGTCATGTGATGAGGCTATAACACCACTGTGGATTAGAAGTTCCATTTACCCCCTGCATATTATAATCTATTAACAACAACTGAGTACCACATCATGTCTAGTAACATCAAAAGTAGATTGTGCAGAAGATTAAGTCTTTCTTCTATAGATTTATCCATTCTAAACCACATATTAATTTTCTTAAATAGAGATACCCATACCAAAGGGAAAATATTAGGTTTATGTAAACAGGCCATCACTTTTTTTTTTTTTTGAGACGGAGTCTCGCTCTGTCGCCCAGGCTGGAGTGCAGTGGCGGGATCTCGGCTCACTGCAAGCTCCGCCTCCCGGGTTCACGCCACTCTCCTGGCCACTGTCCTGCCTCAGCCTCCCAAGTAGCTGGGACTACAGGCGCCCGCCACTACGCCCGGCTAATTTTTTGTATTTTTAGTAGAGACGAGGTTTCACCGTTTTTAGCCGGGATGGTCTCGATCTCCTGACCTCGTGATCCGCCCGCCTCGGCCTCCCAAAGTGCTAGGATTACAGGCGTGAGCCACCGCGCCCGGCCAGGCCATCACTTTTTAAAGTCCACAAGAAATTCCCAATGAGATGACTTTATTCTGCTCATATGTGAAATGCCCCATTAGTGCACCATTACATTTCATAATCTTAGTGATTGCCCTAAATTGCTTCATAACAAGTAGGCGAACAACATTGATAAGGAGAGGTATTTTATTCTAAACCGAGATATGTCAGAATTGGTATTTTTTTCTTCAGACAGCTACAGCAGCATGTTCAGAAAGAAAGCCTACATCCCAAAGAGGAAATTAAATCTCAGCTGAGCTTTCTGCTATTAAAACTACTATTACATCTTTTAGACATGTAATCTCTATGTGCTCAAGATATTGACACAACTGTTATCTAAAAACCAAGTGGAAATAACCAGGGGAAAAATGCTTGGTTTTCTAAAGGTAGAGGATGAGGAAGGAAAGAGATGGAGTAAGAAATTACTGGAACAGAACATGGAATGGAATCTCTACTATTCAGAATTGCCTAGAATTGTGGTGCTAACCCTGCAGTGCACAGTTCACTAAAGCTCTCATCCCCAGCCTGATGACTACTCTTCCCTCTTCTCCCTATTTACATTAAATTGTCTTGCTGACCATTCTTTACCCCTATCTCTTCAATGCGAAATACTCATGCTTAATATCTGTAAAGTCTTAAAATTGAGGATTGCATCCTGTATTCTCTGCAACATCCATGTTCTCACCTGTATTGGAAAGGCTCTTCCGAAAATGCATTCCTTTTTTGATAAAACATTTACAACATAGTCTTTGGGTAAAGGCTCTCCTTTGCTATGTAGAACTCTGGAATAATCCTCTTTGAGGAATGTTCCCGCCAGAATTAGAAAGAAAAATGTGATGCGTACAATATGCTCCGTCTAGCTAATATTTGTTGAGAGTCCATTCCAGACCTGGCTACTTTCTGCCATCAGCAGCTTTGAAGTTCTGAGGTGTGGAGACAGCCATTGAATCTATAATGTCACATTTGGAGTCCATTATAATAACTTACAGCATTTACCCAGTTGTAACTTGAACAAAGCCCAGTGTATTCTTGGATATCCCCTTAAAGGAAAGAATCTTGATATTTCATCCCACCATCCCCGATACAAAATAATAAAGATGCTTACTCTAGGTAAGCAGGTCTCAAAAATATCAATATAAGTAGTTATAAACTTTAATAGACCTTGAAATCCAATTATCTACAGTTTCATGGTGGCTAAATAATTTATGATAATTGCAAATTCATTAGATTATAATTTGCCACGGCCAAACCTATGAATTTCCTGATATCTTTAAAAACATGCATTCTCATGGTGAAACATGGCATTTTCTTTGTTCGTTGCTATCAAAATTGTCTAATTATAACAATTTAGAAAGCATCCCATTACTTAAACCTGGATCATTTGGAGGTTTTCCCTGTTAATGCAAAGACATAAACCTAAGAGCATTGCACCATCTCATTAAGCCTCCTGATTTCAGCAGCTGTCTGGTATTAGCTGGAAGCAATCTACTGTGTGTGCTTAAATGGCATCCTGTTCACCTCTGCTCCACAAACAAAAGCAAATTTAGAGAATGTACACATACATGCACATGGACACAACACACACAATCCAACATAAAACACTTACATAAAACATGTATAGCTTGGTGAGTCATCAGGTAAACTCCTGTGACCATCACCCAATCAAAAAATAGAACTTTGCCAAACATGTCACAAGCCCCTTCATATGCCCTATCCTGATTACACTTCCCTCCCTGTCTCCAGAACTAATCAGAACCACAACTTACAAAGCAACTACTTTCTTACATTTCTCTGTACTTTCCTCACCCAATTGGGCATCCTGAAATGTTATTTAGTCTTACCCATTTCTAAAACTCTTTATTTAAAAGTAAGATTCGCAGAAGTTCCAGAAATTTACGGGATGGTCCCACACACCTTTTACTCCTCCTCCCCCAATATTAGCATCTTGCATAACTGTAGTTGTGATATAACTAGAAATATATATATTTGGTCTCTTCCTGTGGTTCCTGACACAGAACTCCTAAAACTCTCATCATTTCCTGAGTGATAGGGGTGATAAGAGCATCTTTCGTTATAATATTTGGTCTTAGCTCCTGGCTCCATACATAAGAACTTCTAAGACCCTTGGAATCTTCACAGTGATGAGTGTCCTTCAGTATTCTAATGAGATGACTGGCACCTGGGCCCCTACATAGCTTCATGATGAGGGCTGGTTGCAAGAGGAACCAACCATGTGAATAGAGGATTAAAACTTTCAGCCCACCCCAGACCTCTGGAGACGGGAGAGGGACTGGATATTGAGTTCAATCACCAGTGGTCAATAACTTAATCCATCCTGCCTAGATAATGGAACCACCATAAAGCCCCTAAAAAATGGGGTGTGAAGGGCTGGTGAACACTTGGAGGTGCTTGGAGGGTGGCATGCCTGGATAGGACATGGTAGCTCCACATCCCTTCCCACATACCTTGCCCTGTGCATCTCTTCTATTTGGCTATTTATGAATTGTGTTCTTTATAGCAAACCAATAATAGTAAGTAAAGTGTTTCCCTGAATTCTGCGAGCTGTAACAGCAAATATCAAACATGAGAAGGGAATCATGGGAATCCCCAGTTTGTAGCTGGTCAGGCAGAAGTATAGATGGCAACCTGGGATTTATGAATGGCATCTGAAGTTGGGGTAGTGTTGGATTGAGCCCTTTAACTTGTGGTATCTATTGCTAACACTAGGTACACAGCATTAGAATTGAATTGACTGCACCCAGTTGGTGAATTGAATGAACCGAGTTGGTGTCCACAGAGAACTGGAGAATTTCTTGGTGGTGGAAAAAACACCGTATTTGGTGTCAGAAGTGTTGTGACTAAAAAGAAACAAGTTTTATTCTTTAATAGTATACCACGAAAGCCATGAAATTGACATTGATACAATTCACAAACTATATTTTAATTTTATTAATTATATATTCACTCATTTGTGTGTGTTTATAATGTTATGATATTTACATCACATACATATCTTTGGCTAACAACTACTACGATCAAGATGCATAACTGTTCCATTACCATAAGGCTCCTCTGCTCCCCCCTTACAGCCATAACCACCCCTCCTTTCCCAAATCCTTACCTCTAGTAAATATTACTTTTTTCCATCTCTATGATTTCGTTATTTTAAGAATATTCGAGTGAATTTATACATCATGTAACCTTTTGAGGGTGGCTCTTTTTTCACATAATTTTGTGGAGGTCCATTCACTTCGTGTGTATGAATAGTACCTTTTTTATTGTTGAGTTGTATTCCATGGTATGGATGTGTCACAGTTTGCTTGATCATTCAACCATTGAAGAACATTTAGGTTGTTTCCAATTTTTAGCTATTATAATAAAGCTGCTATCAATAGATATAGCTTTATTATAAATCTATCAGGTACATATTTTTGTTTGAACACAACTTTCTATTTTTATGAGATAACGCCAAATTTTATGGGTTATATGTTTTAATTTTAGAAGAAATTGTTAAACTGTTTTCCAGAGTGGCTTTACCTATTTTATTTTCTAATGAGCAATACATGGGTTAATCTCTTTCTCTGCATCCTTGCCAGTGTTTTGTGTTTCCCATTTAAAAAAGAATTTGTTATATATTTAAATTTTTTAAATGTACAGATTCTCCCTTTATGTCTTTCTTTTCCTTGTAATTAGTTTGCTCAAGAACTCAGGAAGGTTGACCTGTAGAGTTTGCCAGTCTGGATTTTACTGAGTGTATGCTCATGGTGAAGTTCAACAAGAAACTAGGTTCAAAAGCTTGATTAGATTCTACTCTGATCTTTTGCAGAGGCATTAGGTGGTAGTGTATACTTCCATCAGGAAGTTCATAGTGGTCTACTGATCTTATATCTCTGTTGATAGCAGCTTTTGAAGTTCAATACCTAAATCCATTAATTTATGCCAGATTGAAAATGGTTCTATGTTAATTATGTGATTATATTACATGAAACAAATTTATAAGGAAACTTTTCTTTATCTACTGTTTGCTTATTCAGTAGTATATTCACACAGAAGAAGGACAAATCTTATTTTCTTTTACCAGTTTTCAGGATGAAGTGGTTCTTTGTTATCCTGCAAAGGTGGCCTGTTCTCTTTTTAACATCACTAGGAGTTCATGAATGCAAACAAATTTGATAGTTTTATCTTCTTATTAAATATTGGGTATTTCTAATTACTATTATTTCTCCTATTACTATAACTCAAATTGTTCTACTTTGGGGCAGTGGGAGCCTCTCCAAATTGTCTCCTAAGTCCTTTTGACACAACCCTCGCAGCCTCAGCTAACTTTGTTGCTATTTGCTCTGACAAAATGGTCCAGGCTTATATACTTCGTGTCACACACCCAGAGTCAGCCATTTCTTTAAGTCTTGTTTTTTTTTTTTTTAGTGGGAAATGATATTTTAATATTATAATCTGGGGTGTATAAATGATCATTACAGGTTGAGTATCCATTATCTGAAATGCTTGGGACCAGAAATGCTTTTAATTTCTGATTTTTTATTTTAGAATATTTGCACATACGTAATGAGATATCTTGGGGATGGGACCCACATCTAAACACAAATTCATTTGTGTTTCATATACACCTTACATACATAGCCTGAGGTAATTTTATACAATATTTTAAATGACTTTGTCCACTCATCACATGAAGCATAGAATTTTCCACTTGTGGCATCATGTTGGTGCTCAGGAAGTTTTGAACACTGAAGCATTTTGAATTTTGGATTTTCAGATTACAGATACTCAACATGTATTACTGCACTGGTCATTATTTCTAAGACTTTTTGGTAGACAGAGCTGGAACATATATGGTAAAATGCCTCATGGGTGCATTCTGATATTTCTAATTCAATTTCAGGACAGCAGGGTTTTAACTAAGCCTTTTTTTAAGGTATGTCTGTATCTCCATCTTCCAAACCAGAGTCTTAGTTCTCAAGGATACGTGAGGTGATAGAATTAGAATATTACTTATTCATTCTGCAATTATGTCATACACATAAGAACTTACACATGTAACGTCACTAATACTACCACCACTGACTATGATCAATAAAAAGTCACATTTTTACATATATTATACTCCTTTTTATCCCCCATTTCTTCAAATAGTTTTGTTATATCTATATAATTGCATATGGCCGCTACCTATTATATTCTTTCCTTTTTGACACTTATTTCATCTGAACTTTTTAGTGAGTATATATTGAATGCTTGCCATCACTTCATAGGCTCACATCTCTCTCATCATTTTGGTTGTCTGAAGCTTAGTCTCTAGCAAATTCCTCAAGGACTCTTAGAAGCAAAATCCCTAAAGTTCTTAGATGTTTGTAACAGTTTGTGCTCTGTATACTTGGAAGTCTTGTTTTCAAGTATATAAAATCTTTGGCAAACATGTTTTTTCCTTGAGTAGTATAAATATGTTGCTCCATTTTCTTCTGGCATAATGAAAATTTGATGATAATCTAACTTTTCCCCCTAAGTCACATACACTTTCTGCACAGGTATCTAGTGGCTATTTTTCTTTTTCTTTAGAGTTGAATAACTTTACTAGAATATGTCTTGGCATTTATTATTCTGGGTTGGTAATCTCAGGTACATACAGAGGTCGCTGTTTATAGAAAATTTTTTATTGTATTAAGGCGTACAATATGAACTTTTGATTTACATATCCATAGTGAAATGATTACTATAGGTAAGCAATTTAATATATGCATTGCCTTCTGTAGTTACTCTTTGCTTTTGCTTTTTTATTTTTAGGCAAGAGTACCTAAAACCTACTCTCTTAGCAAATTTTCAAAATACAATATTAGCTATAGTCCTCCTGCTGTACATTAGACCTCTAGACCTATTTATCCTACATAACTGCAAGTTTGTAACCTTTGATCTTCATCTGTCAATTTCCTCCCTCTCTCCACCTCTGGTAATCAGCATTCTACTCTGTTTCTATGAATTTGACTTTTTAATTCCACATACAGGGGAAAGGGAAACCTGCAGAAGTTACATTATGCAATATTTTTCTTTTTGTGCCTGGCATATTTCACTTAGCATGATATCCTCCAGGTTCATCCATAGTGTCACAAATGGCAATATCTCCTTGTAATTTGTCACAAATGGCAATATCTGCTTCTTTTTAAAGGCTGAATAATATTTCATGCGTATGTGTAGAACACACACAATTTCTTTATCCATTCATCCATTGACAGACACTTGTTTCTGTATCTTGGCTACTGTGAATAATGCTGCAAGGAACATGGGAGTGCAGATGTCTTTGAGGCACTGATTTCATTTACTTTTGGTATCTACCCAGAAGAGGGATTGCAGGATCATATAGGAGTTCTATTTCGATCATTTTTTATTTCAGGAAAGTTTCTTGTATTACAATTTTAGTATATGGTTCCCTTGCTTTGACTTTTTCTATAGGGATTGAATATGTTGGATCTTCCTTGCATGTTTTTCAATATTAGTCAGATTCTCTCAAATCTCTGTTTTCTCTTTGTTTTTTAGTTTAAGATTTTTTTCTTTTTTAACCTTTTATTTCTCTTAAAGCACCATCTGTGTGTTTATTCACTCTTGTGTGTCTTCCAGTTTAGTGTTCAATTCTAATACAATTTCTTTCTTTTTTTTTTTTTATTCTTTCTTGGTTCTGTCACTTCCCTGGCAGAAAGGCTGACTCTAGGTTAAGCCCACCATATTGGAAGAGAGTGAATGGAGTTAAAACTGCTTTTTAAAACTGCACTGGTAAGGCTTAAGGGGTTGAGACAGCAGGGCCTTGTCTTTTAACTTGGAAGAATTTGGACCAAGAGGGAAAAATGTAGAAAGCTGACAGGTGATCCACATTCACATCTCCAAGCTGTCTCTGAGATGCTGAGCAGAATATTATGTGCTTTTAAAGTACTAGTGTTTTCCTCTACTTAAAGAAAATTGTAGTAATTTATCATGACTTTATTCTCTGCAGGAAAATACTCAAGGGCAATTACCTTCAGGCCCTTCCCTTCAGAATTCTAGGACTGCAGCAGAGACCATTTTAAAAAGAAGTTTTCAGAAAAGCCTTACTTAACCCTTTAAGGTCTCATATGAAGCATCTGTGTTGTTAACGAATGAGGCCTGGAACTTTTGTAGCAGCTACTTCATGCCAGGCACCTTATATTGATTATATTATTAAATTCTCCCCCACTATTTTAATAATCACCATTTTAAACGAGAAGAAATTTAAACTCCAAGAGGTTAAGCACTTGTCTAGGATCACATAGAATGGTGGACATTTGAATTCTGGCCTTTTCTAACTCCATAATCATAAACCACATTGTCTTCTGTTTGAGATTTGAAGGAAAGAAAGTAAAACAAAACAATGAAACAGGTGTTGTTTTTCTGACTTCCTAAATTACCTGATCTCTGCTGCCTTATTCTATTTTTCAAATGCTGTCAACCTTACATTTATTCTCTCCATGGCACATATATTCCCTTGTAATGTTAGGTTTCTGCTCTGAGCTCAAATTCTGAAATAACCCAGCATGTAAATGACAGTGGTGTGGGAGCAGTGTGGGTCTGTAATGGAAGCTTTAGTCCAGAGGACAGAAAACTTTGGGCAAGTCACCTGAACTGTAACTTTGTTTTCTTGTTTCTAAGAAAGAAATAACAAGCCCATAGTTAGTGGCTAGGCTGTGCAGCTCCCAAATGTTAGTTTCTAAAACCACAAGGTGAATGTTTGCTCATGTTCTTGTTCATCGGGGATCCTCCATTAGGGTGTGGTATTTTTGTTGTTCTGATCCTGGAACCCAGGACAACAGAGCAGCCACTTTCTGGAGTGTCTCCAGTCCCCACGATAGGAGAAAGAAGAAATTCCATTAGTTTGCTAGAGCTGCTATAACAAAATATGACAGACTGGGGGCTGAACCAATAGAAATGTATTTTCTTACAGTTCTGGAGGCTGGAAGTCCAAGGTAAAGCACAGGTACAGGACCGGTTTCTTCTGAGGCTCTTCTTGTTGACTTGCAAATGACAGCTCTGTAGCTGACCCTTCCTCAGTGCCCACATTTCCCTGGTGCTTCCTCCTCTTCTTATTAGGACACCACTCTTACTAATTTAGAGCCCCACTGTATCACCTCATTTAAACTTAATTACCTATTTAAAGGCTCTATCTCCAAATACAGTCACATTCTAAGGTACTGGAGATTAGGGCTTCAACATATGAATTGGGGGTGGCAGGGACACAATTCAGTCCATAACAGAGGCCATGAAGAGCTGTGTGCTTGACTGTATCCCCATAACCCTTTTCCCATTTTTAACCTGCTGCAGAAGATACCTTTTAAAATCTGACAAAGTGAGAGTAAAAATGGATTATCAAAGACTCTTAAGGGAGCACATGTCATAGAAATCTGAGATATAGAAAGAATGGAAGCACGCCACTTGTAAACTTGCCCCTCATCCATTGGGTTTTTTTCATGCCTCAACAGAGAAAAATTTCAAAAACATACAGGGCAAAGGGAAACCTGTCAAACTCCTCCACAGATACCACTGAGTGCAGAGGAAAGCAACCCACTTAAGTCGGCTTTCTCCTTCACTCACCCAGGGCCTTGTCCGGTGGGACTGACACTGAGAGAGCACTGCAGGCTTGGATGTGAAGTGGAAGTTACGAGGTCTTTCCAGCTGAGACCACAAGAGTCATTTCCCAGCTGTAGAATATAGGTCCACTAACATGTATCTCCCAATGAGACTAGCCCCTCCATATTGTTAAGACAGGCCCGCAAGTCAATACAGTCAGAAGAAAATTAAAATCTCTAGCAAAGGAGAGATCTTTAATATTTTTACTATAAAACCATTGTGATCCTTTTGAAAGATCCGGAATTGACTCTCTTTTCAAGTAACCTTTTTGAAGCTTGCTAATTCATACCTACAAAATTTACCTTCTCCTCCTCTTCTGAACATCAAATGGTCTTGTTTCTCCTGAGTGTCAAGAGGTCATGTCCTCTGCTGACCACAGGCCAGTACACAGAGTGGACGCTAAAGTATCCCCATATAGAGAAGGCGGCCAGTAACTTTTATGTGTCATAGAATTGAAATGTGGTATTTTCTAGCCTCTGGCTGAAGACTTCCCTCCATCCTTCCTATGCCATAATTCTTATAAAGAGCAGTTTTTTTTTAAATTCTAAGTTTGAAAAAAATTCTGAGTCTGTAGTTTTATTTCCTCAGTACCTCCAGACAGACAGAATGTATGGGGGAGTCCTTTGATCAGACATGCTTCTCCTAGAGATTTTTGATGTAAGGTTCTAGTAAACAGAGTAATGGTCCCTAGAGATGCCCCCTAGAACTGTGAATTTGGTACCTTACATGGCAAAAAGATCTTTGCAGATGTAAGTCAAGGATTTTGAGATCGTGAGATTATATTGGATTATCCAGAGGGGCTTAATGTGATCACAAGAGTCCTTCTAAGAGGAAGGCAGAGGGGTGAGAATAAGGGAGAGAGATTTGAAGGTGCTATGCTGCTGGCTTTGAAGATGGAAGAAAGGATCATAAACCAAGACATGCTGGGGTAAACGAGTGAATTGATTCTCTCCTAGAGCCTCTGGAAGGAACGAAGCCCTGCATACACCTTGATGTTAACTCATCAAAACCCGTTTCAGACTTCTGACTTTCGGGACTGTGAGATCATAAATCTGTGTTGGTTTAAGCCACTAAGTTTGTGATAATTTGTTACAGCAGCAATAGAAAACTAATACAAAGATTCACTCCAAACAGCCCCCAAATGAAATCTGAAGTAGAAAATTCTTCCTGCTTTATATTCACCGTCACTGATAATATAAACACTTCTTCAACCTAAAAACTCTCAAATCTTCCCCAGCCCTGGTCACCTATGGAGTTTCAAACGGTCCAATTAAATCACAGGCATATTCTGACATTACTTCTTGTCCTCTCTTCTTATATAAAAGACAAACTGGTTCAAAAAACTTCTGACACAGTATTGTAGTATTTTTACATTTCTCACCTGACCTCTAGACCCATCCCAAACATGTCACTGACTGACTTATGATCTTGCATCTATCTGTATGTTTGAACTTCTGATATGTTTCTTTTTCTCTTATACACACACACACACACACACACACACACAAAGAGGGACTCTATACTCCCTCTTACATAGTTGTTTATTCAACAATATTTATTAAGAACTCATGGACTCTGGGGCCAGAATGTCTGGGTTCAAATCCCAGCAATTCCCCTTGCTAGCTGTTTGACCTTGAATATTCAATTTAATAAACTTTTTAAAAACTTCATTTCATCACATTTAAAATGGAAATAATAGCAATAACTACTACATAGGATTGTTTATGAGACTTGTCTAAATAGATAATATTTATACTTAGGACAGTGACTACCATGTACATAAGTGTTTGCTATTATTATTATTATTATTATTGTATATAATATTATTATATATTGTTGTTATTACTACCATGTGCCAACCACCAAAGCTGTAATAGTGAAGAGAATGCAGCCACTGTCCTCAAGGAGCTTTCTTTCTAGTGGGAGATTCAGGTAAGAAAATAGGCCAGTGTGATTCAGGGCAAATATCTAGAAGGAAGAACAGGCTCTGCGAGCCCATAGGTGGTTACAGAACCCAGTGTGGGTGAAGAGGGAGGATACTCAGGTAAGGCTACTTAAGGAGGTAATATTGCAGGGAAGACCCAGGAAATGAAGAGTCTGCTAGGTAAATGGAGAAACTGGGGAGGAGGGATTTTAATGTGGAGTAGACATAAAAGAGAAAAGGACAAGAATGTCTTGGCAGTGGAAACAAAGTAGAAGAATGTTCCCTGAAGGAAGGACAAGATATGTACAGGAAGGAGAGTACCTCTGGTAAGAAGTAACATCACCTTGATTTATTAGAGCTGTGCAGGTTGTATTTTGTTTTGAGTACAATACACACATTCAAGATTATTATTCCCAAATAATAAAGATTGAGTGGGAATCAACATTCCTGATTCTTATATGGCAGAAATTATGTCTTACAAACTCTCATGCCACTATGATTAAGTGCAGCCAAGCATGTGATAACACTCAACCAACACAAAAGATATAATTCCATTTTTTAAAAGAAAAATATCTTGAAGGACTACCTTGAAATCTGGATGACAACTCAGTCACCCAATAAGAAAACAACAATTTAATACTATTTATAAGTGCTATAGTGCAAAATTTCTACAAAGGTTTTCAACACTGATTGGTCATTAGAATTACCTAGGGAGAAAATTACCTGTTCTCAGGCCTCATCCCAAACCAATTAAATCTTAATATCGACAGATTGGACTCATTCAACAGCATTTTTTAAAACTTCCTAGGTGGTGATAATGTGCAACCTGTGCAGCCAGGGATAAGACTGACTGACTTGGCATTATCTGCAAGATTTTAAGATTTTTGAAATATTTCAAACTTTTTAATTAAATGATCTATTTCAATTCAGAGTACTCAAATTTGTTGGACAAAAAAAGGAGAGATAATTGAGCTATTAAGTTGGTAAAATGGGAGCTACTATTTCCATTATTTAATTGATTTTGCAGTTTGGATTGTCTTTTTGACTTCATATATACTCACAAGTCAAGTTATTGACTTCTATTGTTTTAAGTCACTTTATTTGTTTTTAAAGATAACTTCAAGGGTTGTTTTGATAACACCTCTCTGACATCCTATTGTATTGCCAACTGAACACACCATTAATGGGAAATGGACTGTGCATTTCTACAAGCTCATTTTGGGAAAAAAAATGCATGTATGTCAGTCAGTCAAGAAACAAGTCACAGGTTACAGAAAAATATCCCGCTGAACAGAAAATTAGGCAATGGGCAGGAAACAAAGGGCACCATAATGGAAATCTTTCAAGCTTGAATTAAGTTACCGACTAATGAGAATCCTGCAGGGTACAGTGATAAGGGGGCTGGATGTTTATTAAATAACTATTCTTGCAAATTACCTGACTGATGGTGTTGCTGGCAATGCCCTGAAGATCCCCCTGATAAGGCAGGACCTAAGGGGAAGCAGCCATTAAGCAATTTACATGCAGAAGCATCTGAAAAGAAAGTAATTATGAATTTTCTTTATGCGTATTCCAGGAGGAGAAATAGCATTATTTATCAAAAGAAAGATACTTCAGCAAATATGCTTTAAAAAATTAGACCTGGTTGACAGACAATTTAAAAAGAAGGATCTCTCATTTGCTATTCACCTACATCTGTGTGATGCACTGATGACATGTTGACACTAGACAATCGGTGGCAAGCCCATTGGATGCCTGGAGTTAACAGGAGGGAAGAGTGTAGGGAGCATAAGAGCCTCAATTCTTTCTCTCTCTCCATCCACCCACCCCCCGCCCCACACACACACACGCTTTCTTTTTCTCAAAACTTTTCCCTCTTCAAGGGAAGGGAGAAAAATCTTACAGTTAGAGAGACATTTATGCATAAATTTATTCCATATGCACTTAGTGAGACATTTCCTAATATAATGTAAGTAGTTCTAGGCCCTGGGTGTACAGTGGTGACATGAACACAGCCACTATTCCTGAGAGGCACTTGATCTTGTAGGGGAAACAAACATGAAACAAATCATTACAGTGTAATGTAGGAGAAAATTGTGCTTCACTAAAAAAATAATGCATTGTTAACATCCAGCACATCCTTCTCAACTGAGTCCAGCTGTTCATTGCCTTTGAGCTATTTTTCAAGTCTGAAAATTGTAGATAACTGATAGCAATGCAAAATAATTCTTGCCTACAGATATACAAATACTGTCCTGTCTGGTGGAAGTTCAATTGACTTCTCTCTCCTACTATGGAAGTTCATTTTACCTCCATTTGCACACTCATTTAAATATTCCTGATTTATAAATGTGTCTGGTTTTCTACTTCTTTGAAACAGTTGTAACGCCTTTGCTGGTTTTCTCATTGTATGTTGGTTTTTAAATCTGTATAAGAGTTATGATTTTACTCTTAATAGGGTTGAGAACAAAGTATCGGAAAATATGGCACCTTGGCATTTCAATATTTTAAGCTGAAGGAATATGAGAAACAGCATGCAGAAAGAACTTTCTGACCTTCACCTGAGCAGGTCATTAAACCTTCATGGTAAAGGTGTCCTCCCTAGTCCTGGAGGAAGGAAGCTTCCCTGTCTCTGAAGAGGAAAAGAGGAATCTGAAAAACAGGACTTGCTAAGTTTGGTCTTTCCCCTAGTTTATTATGCTTACTTCATACTTCCATTGTCTCAGCCACATTTCTCCATGACTTTCCATTTTTCATCAAGCCCAGCATAAACACACTCAGGTATAACCACTTCTTTGAGTCTTCATTTCCTTGTGAAGGCTCCCAAGTAGTGTAAAATTTACACTAAGTAAATTTGTACACTTTTCTCTTGTTCACCTGTCTTTACTATAGGGGTCCCAGTCAATAACTTAGAAGGATAGTGGGAAAAGATTTGTTTTTCTCCCCAATATCTTCTTTTGAAATGACCTTTTAACAGCAGACTTCCCATCAGGGTGGCAGACTGAAAGGGGGTAACAATATGCCCTGTGGCTCCAAACACATAGACTTGCTGGATACAGTTTTTAAATAATAGATACATAGCCAAACTCAAAAATAAGAAAGAAAAACCTCCAGCTGCCAGAAACAAAGAAAGAACAAATAGTCATAGATATGAGCCAGAGCTGAAATCCTGTAGCTCACAGGAAAGGTAGATTGGACGCATACTTCACCTTATGTCTGTGCAGGCCCCACACTGGTGCTAAGATGGAAAGGGCCTATGTTATAGGGCTGGGAGCTAGAAGGAAGTTAGAACATATGTGAATGGGTGGAGGAAAATCATTGCCAGCATCCTGCCCTGGGCCACATGTAGAAATTGAGTCATTGAAAGACAGGGATCTAAAGCCTATGCTATGTAGGTGAAAAGCCTGAATCTGAAACATTCATTTGATTAGAAACTTCAAGCCAAATAACTAAATTAAAAAACCAGTGAATCCTGTAGGACCTGAATAGGAAGGTTTTTGGAGTAGTTCCAGCAAGATATGGAACTAAGGAACTAAGGCAACGACAGTGAGGATCTAGAGAAGGTGGGGTGAAGCCAAGAGATCATCAGGAGGCCAAACAGCTGGAGCTACCCCCAGGTTGTACCAGGAAAAAAGGGAGAGTTGTCTATAATAATTCTCAACTTCTTTACTCCATTAACGGAGAGAATAATGGTGTCATTTATAAGAATGGAAGGAGGGAGAGTGAACAGATTGAGCTGGGAATGGAGTTGATAATGTTTTGTGTATGGGTCATGTTGAGTTTAAGGTCTAGATGGACATGTCCAGCAAACAGGTCTGCAACTTAGGGGAAGGTCCAGGTTAGGGATAGAAATTTAGGAATCAGCAGGAAGTAATAGGAATGAATAGGATTTCCCAGGGAAAGTGTGTCAAGTAAGAACTAAAAAGGAATAAAGACAAAACTTTGAGGAACATGAACATTTAAGGGACAGGTTAAAGAAAGAAGCCCCAAAAGTAGATTGAAAATCAGCAGCCAGTTAAGTAGGAGGAGAAAATGGGGTCACAGAAGTCAACTTAGGAGTTTCCAAAAAGAGGCCACAAATGATAAAGAAGTTAAGAATGGAAAACTGTGATGACATGAAACTGATTTGAGGAACTTGAAAGAAGGTGATTGAATCTAAGATTTAGGAAGTCATTTTGGAGACTTTTAAGTTAATATTTGGGGTCCATTGCTTTAAAAATTCATTCGTAAATTATGCAGCAAAATAGCATTATGACTAGTGACAGAGCTAAGATTCAAGGAAGGTGTTTTGTGTCTTTTTTTTCCAGAAAGTAGAAGGCATGAAAATAAAAATTTCTCATACCAATATGAAGCATAAACAAGTTCAATTGTTGACATAAACACAAACAGTGATAGTTCTTTATACAGTACTTTGCAGTTTTGAAATGCTTCAATATATATAGTCTCCTTTAAAACTTGAAACTCCTTAAAATGCGCCTTGAGATCCATTTCATCTCTGGAAACAGAAATGAGAAAGGCCAAACACCTTGTCCAAAGTCATGCAGCTTGTGATTGGTGGCAACTAGAATAAAACCAGATGGTTTGACCCACTTCAGTGTCAGCACCCGTGGAGACAAAAGTGGCTCCACCTTGAATGCTAATCTGCTATGTTGATTTCTGATTAGCTTCATGAATGCCTCCTGGTTTTTACTTTATTGACTGTCAACTAGTGTAAGAACAGAGCAAACTTGATGCTGTCCACAAATTATGGGCTGCGACACATATGGCATTCTTACCTGTTCTGGAGGATTCCCTTTAATCGTCTTACTGGAGCAGGCATCCCCTTTCCCTGTACAATAGAAGCCTTGGGTCTGAGGAGCAGCAGTGTGGAGATCTACCTGCCTTGCTGCTGCCTAAGACCACACTTCTGTCTGTAAGTTCGCTCAATAAATCACCCAATATCAACAAAAAGAAAAAAAGAAAGAAAGAAAAGAAAAGTGTTTACTGGTGTTTACTACAGAAGGATGTTTATGGTGACAACAAAAGTTGCTCCTCCAGTCTAGTCATATACTGAGGGCAAAAGTCAGGTTTTAGTGGTTGAGGAGTAAATTCCTCTTTTCACAGCCTTCTGCCACAAAAGTTGGCTTAATATTTTCCCTTCGAGTATTTTCCCTTTCAAAGATAGAGACCTGAAGAGATGAATTGCCAGCATTCATTCATTCATCCATTTAATCCATATTTATCGAGCACATACTATTATGAAGAACTCAGCTAGACAGTGGGCTGTAGAAATCTGTGAGACCCAATCTTTAGTGGAAGGAGTTTAATATGAGTGGTAAATTAAAATAAATCATTACAGTGTAGGGCATGCTATACACAGGGCCTTATTGGAGGATGCCCCATGATAGCCTGGAAGTAGAGCCAGAAATTGTTCTCAAGAGGAAGTAATTTCTTAGCCTAGTCTTAAGCAATTGCTAACATTTATGTAATACTTATCAGGATCCATATTTCATCCTAAGTACCAAACATTTAATTCATTTCATCTTCACAACCACTGCCCAGGGTAAGCAATATCATGACCCCCATTTTACAGATAACAAGACTGAGGTGCCAAGGTTGACTGGCATAGGACCACGCAGCTACAAAGTGATAGTGGTAGGACTCAAACACAAGTACTCTACTTCCAAAGTTCATGCTTAAAGCCATCACACTACACTCTCTTTTAAAAGATAGCTCAGAATTTATTCAGCTAATGCAGGGGGATAATTGTTCCTATCCAAAAGGGCACACACGAAGACAAAGAAACACAGAAGAACACAGCACAGTTATGGTGGCTTCCATTCACAGCTACTCTGTGGAACAATATTCTCCCATGGGCTTGCATCATTTGGTCTTATCTAGTATCTAAGTCACATTGGGATTTTATTTTAAATTCAGGATATAGATTTATTCTCTCAGCAGTTAGACACTTTTCTACTGAACTCAGCTGCTCTCACCCACACCGTCCACCACATACATTTCTCTGCCTTCTCCAATACTTGGCATGGCCTCCCTTTCCATTCTCCTTGATTTGACTCCAGTTTTGATAATTTTCAAATTTCACCCTCAAACTTCTCTTCTGTCTACATTGTATATCGTCACTCTAGCATTCCTTTCAAAACTGTCAAGCAAAGAAATAGAAACTTGATGATCCACACCAGTGCTTTTCTTCTACACTACTCATCTGCAAGTCCAACCAATGAAAAGAGTTGCACCTTATTGCCATTTAAACAGACTCATGGTCTCTCTTCACTACTCACTGGCTATTTAATATTAATTCACAATTGAAAGTAAAGTTGTCAATTGCCATTCTTACTACTAGGCAATCCTTAATATTCATCTCTTTAGAACTAAAAACAGTATTTCAGATTCTAAATTTTGTTCTGTGTGGGCACAACTTGTCCCTCATCTACAGAGTGACCAATGTGAGGGACACCTTTGAGAGGGAAAAGAAGTTTTATTAATGATGACAGTGGGCAACCACTTAAACTGAAGCTTTCCTCAGCAAACCAGAATATACAGTCACCCTAATAATCTACATAACCTCCTTGTTTGCTGCAAAGGTTTTGTTAAAATGCTTTTCAAGTTGGCTAGGATAATTTTAAGCAACAGATTTAAATTTGGAGGAGTGAACCAATGCTTATCTACTTCCTGGCCTTCCTCATCCACAACGGTGTACTTCACATATTTGACACCCAGAAACGATCATTTTTTAATACCTCCCCCAATACAATATTTTCAGAAATAGCCATTGATAATCAGTAATAATCATACTGATTTGCTCTTTAGTTTTCAATTGATTTAAAATAATTCATTTCATTTTTAAAGATATTCAAATTCAGTAAAATATTTTACTTATGAGTTAAACTTGCACTTACCTAACACAAATAGTACTCCTTGAAATTTGCACTCTATTTCATAGTTTTAAAATTTGAGGCCGGACACGGTGGCTTATGACTGTAATCCCAGCAACTTGGGAGGTAGAGGTGGGCGGATCACCTGAGGTCAGGAGTTTGAGACCAGCCTGACCAACATGGAGATATCCCAACTCTACTGAAAATACAGAAAAATTAGCGGGGTGTGGTGGCACATGCCTGTAATCCAGCTACTCAGGAGGCTGAGGCAGGAGAATCACTGGAATCCGGGAGGGGGAGGTTGCAGTGGGCCGAGATTGGGCCACTGCACTCCAGCCTGGGCAACAAGAGCGAAACTCAGTCTCAAAGAAAAAAGTGATCAATCACAAATAAAAATTCAAAATGGTTGCATAGAGTGATACAACTGAAGTAACTGAAGCTATTTCCTTGTCTTTAGAATCCATGTGTGATTGTTGCTTCTTATGACTCTATTATTCACACACAGGGATATGAGTACCACAGGAGTCAGAGACATAAACACCACCCAAAATGACCTCAAACCATTCCTTACCATTACACACTTAATCTCAAAACAAGCACATTTCAGGGGCCAACTATATAACTCAAATTAACTTCTACTAGAGTACAATGTTTATGAAAGGCTAAGTGACAAAAATGGGTTAATTGGAGGTTTACACATATAGTATTAAAACTCAGCAGTAGTGCAGCAATTGTTTAAAACTTACACAAATGAAAGATTTGTGGGGAGGATCATTTTATTACTGACATTGTTTCAAATTGTTGGCCCTTGGTGATAAAAAATAAAAAGCAGAGTGATTTTTAGCTGATTTTATTGTTTTCTTACATTCCCTACAGACGAGGCACTCCTTTTTGTCTGCACTGGGAAGATCATTCCCATCGGCCACCCTTGGTTGGGCTCTGCTTCCTTCAGATCATGGCAGGCCCTCCAGGCCACCCAACTGTCCCTTCCTCTGGGTTCATGGCCTCACTTTTTCTTAGTTTTATCAGTTTATTTTGGTGTGCCTTGTGTCTGTCCTCACAGTTAGCTTCTGTAATAACATGACATTTAAAAAATGTATTTAGGCCCTGTGCTATCAACTAAAATACAATATAAACTACTCAAGGGTGGAGGCAGACCCAACCCTTCTGAATCTCAGAGTGATGTCAGCAGGGTTGCATCCCTGCAAATGCTCTACAGGAGGATCTTTGGCTCTTCTGATGGCTCTGAGATGGGAGAGTTCCCTGACACCCTTACAGGACTTGAAACAGAGGTGGCTTGTTTTGCTTGGCTTCCAGCTCAAACCCCTTGTGGGAGGGAGAGCATGCAGGTGAGTGGGTGCAGGAGCTGTGGTAAGTGCTGTTAGGCGCTGGCAGGAACAACCCCCCGTACCCGCCCACAGCAGTGTCTAGTGGTTGCCCATGACCTCTGGAGCCCCAGAGGACGTGTGTTACAAGCAGTGCCCTTTTAGCAGTTGCTGTTTGTGGATAGCTAAGTGTTAACCAGCTCAGTGGAGGGTCAGGGTGACAGACACCCTGCCCTTTTGGTACCTGGCTTCTCCTCCAGCTTCTCAGCCATCCGTCTGTCCAGGAAGAATCAGGTCACACAGATTTGAAGGGTGGTGAATGGGGAGACTTCATTAAGCAGTGGAAGTGACTGTCAGCAGAAGGGGAGCCGGAAGGGGGATGGTGCGAGAAGAAAGTGATCTTTCCCTGAAGCCCAGCCATCTCTGGCTGGGTTCCTCACCAAAGTTGTGCCATCTGAAGTTAAGCCACATCTACTGTAGTCTCTGATGCTCAGTTGCTGCTTCTCCTCCAGACATTCAGCCACTTGTTCTCTTCTCTTCTTCTCTGCCACACCCCTCTGTTCCTCTGCCAGTGGAGTTTGGGGTTTTTATGGGTACAGGATCAGGGGGTGTGGCAGATCAGGGTGGTCTTGGGAAAGGCAACATTTGAGTGGGAAAACAGGGATGTGAATTTCTCATTTAGGGCCGTGGGTTCAGGCTTGTGAGTGAAACCCTTGCCAGGGACTCTGCCCTCTTCTACCCAGTATTTCCTTTCCTTCTTTACTTATCAGCTCCAGGTGTTTCTTGGCATGTGTTGACATCATTCCAATGTATTTCTTTGTCTTCACATGGCATTCTTTCTGTGTTTCTTCTTGTGTCTGTCTCTTCTCATCTAAGAATACCTGTCATTGGATTTAGAATACTCCCTAATCCAGGATTGTCTCATCTCAAAAGATCTTGAGATCCTCAATTATGTCTGCAAAGATTCTTTTTCCAAATAAATTCACATTCACAGGATCCAAGGGTTAGGACATGAAAATATCTTTTGGGGAGCCATTATTCAACCCACTACACAGAGTAACAGTATTGGGTTAATCCAAAGACCCCTCACAATTAAGAAGTTGGAGAAAAGAAAATTCCCCTTTGCAAAATGAGGATTGTTAGGAATTGAGTAGACCTCAGTCCATTATTTAAGAATCCTGGATGAGGACAAGTACCCTGGAAAGGGGCTGAAAAATATCAAGATCCCAAGATGCCAACAAAGAGGCTTAGGTTTGCACCTTATCTCATCTCAGAGGAGAACAGTAGGAGCCAAAAATACCACAGAGAATACTGTCAGTGGGCAGAGTGTGGGCAGACCAATCTGTGGACTCTGCAGGCACATCAGCTGGGGTAGGTGATGGCTGACCTGGTCTCTCTCGACAGAGGGAGAGAGAGTAGAGCAGCTTGGAAACCGCAAAGCATTCCACAGGACTGGCTGGGCTGGGATGAGGTTGGGAGCAAAGGCTGAGCATTGTGCAGTTATTCTGAGGATGGATTTTCCTTGAGGAATAGTCTGGGCCCTTTCTATCATCTGTCAGGAGCTCCCCAGAGGCACTAACAAAGGACTCTTTCACACTGAAAGGTCTCTGGACTTGATGGTCCATGAAGACTCAATGAGCTCATTTTTTTTCTCCCTTCTAAGTTGCTCCACTCCCATACCGGCAAATGCACATTCATTATCTTGTCACAACTCTGCTAAAGGATAAATTTTAAAATAATGATGCTCTGCACCATAGCCCTAATTGCCTCCAAACTATTGTGTATTTGCTTTGTTCGAATGTGTACAAATGAAGTCAGAAGATCTGCCTGCATTTGTTTTTCAGCTTGTTCAGCTGGGAATGCAAACTGGAAAAATCAGCGTAATTTCTAAGTGCCCCAAAGGTTTGAGATAAAGTTCGTTATTACCCCTCCCAACACCAACCAGATGGAGCTAGATTTCTAAGAACTACCACAAATGTTTTCAAAAAGGTCTTCTTAAAACAACTTTCTAGCCTTGTTTTGCTGTATTCCCTAAACACTGAACTTCCCTTTTTATCAGCTTTTGATGAATGATCAGAAATCTTATTTACAACTTCTACGAGAATATGACTCCATTAGGCCTGCTTACCCCCACGACACCAGAGCTGCAATAGTTTTGAAACCCATCAAGGCAACAACAGACAAGTGAGTTTCAAAGTCATCTATTTTTTTTTTCAAAACAGTATATTGGACATTTATTTTTTGCTTTGATCATTTTATGGTATCTTGAATTTCCCCATAGCTCTTCATTTTGAAATGCTATAGCTCTTAACTTTCATATTTTATTAATAGGAAAAAAAGCTGGCAGAAAGTAAAACAATAAAGCCTTTTTCTACAGTTTTTCATGACTATATACAGTTGAATGCTGTGGCCACTAGGGTTTTGAAGCAAGAAGAAAATTATAGAATGTTAACTATGAAATTAATTGTTTGGCTTTATGGCATGAAAGCAAAAGGAAGTTACAAAATAGGGGCTGTAAATAGACACTAAGTGTAACAATGCCTTCCACTAGCATTGCATGTAGAACAAAGGCTACTGGGCTCAGAAGCTTTGTATAGTAATTCTAGGTTTCAGTAGAAGTCTATTTGGATATTGGCTACTGAGTAATAATACCCCAGAATCTTAAAGGAAGGCAAGATACAGAAACCAAATTAGTAGGGCTCAAGAATGGAGAGAAGCCTAGATTAGGGAGTCAGCAAATACAAATATCTCAAGAAATTTGGAAGTGATAAAACAATACAAGACTTTAGAAAAGGTACAGTACCTTTCAAACTTCAAATTTACTTGAAAGATCTAAACTAGAAAATTTCAGTAAATATTAGTTTTACTTATCTCCTTTACTTTATATGTGATTAATGAAGAATCAAACAAAAGGGGCTATCAGAGTTCTTTGGTTGCTAGCAACAGAAGCTGACTGACTGACTTACAGGAAAAGGAAGAATGTATCAAAAGGATATGGGGTAGCTCATAGAATTAAAAGAAAAGCTTAAGAATTAGGTCTTGGGAAAAGACATGAAAAAGGCAAGTTTAGGGAATGTGGTAGTAGAATCTAATATGTGACCTGTTTTATCAGAATCACAAAGATGAACACACATTATCCACTTTCAATCTTGATTCCTCAGCTAAGACTCCAGTTTCAAGGAGAGAGACCCTGAATAATCAGCCAGGGTCACACAGCAAGATCAAGGTGAACATCTTGATTGACAGTTCCAACAAGATTATTAGTCCTAAATTGGACAATGCATTTTTTGCAAAATTGGGGTGTTGCTACCTAAAGAAAGGGAACAGATACTAGGTACACAAAAACAAGGGGTCCCACCATGCCATGCAATAGTGTTTGGTAAACTATTCAGCACCACATAAATACCAGTTGCAATCATTGTGATTCTATTGGTGGAGAGGGCTAGAAAAAAACGGAAAAGGAAGAAATTGCTTAGTTTAAAAATGGAAGATAGTGAAATACTGAAAATGGTGGCTAGAAGAAGAGTTTGTGGGTTTTAGCATGTTCCATTGAAAAGGGAGAAACTGAAACTGAAAACAAGGAATAATTGAAGAAGAAAGATTCAGAGAAGTGAATGGAAGAAGAAATTTTCAGGATGGAGGGATTGGCCCAGGCTAACACTCCCATCTCTACCCAGTCAGGAAGCAAAGAATAGAGAAGATAAAGAAAAGAAGAAAAATCTGTGGCAGAGAGAAATTAAGGCACTGCCCACTCAGTTCATTCTCTTAATGTTTCTGACAAGTGAAAGGTGGTGTCCAGGGTTGGGTAGGGGGCTGCAGAGAACACTGAAAAGAAGAACAGAAACAGGAGAAGCAGATGGAGAAGGAAAAGAAACTTGAAGCATTTTATAATTTGGAAGCAGAAACAGTCAATTTGCCAGAATTTGCCTGCCACAGAGAAACATGTCATCCTAATTCCTGGATGTCACAAAGAGTACTCACATGAAGCAAACCCCTCCACATAGCTTGCTGCCTTCTCTTTATCAGACTGTGTAGTAAAGGATTTAACCCTACCAAAAAAGATGTCTGGCCTTTGCCTTCAGCTGCTGTGAGGTAATCTTTATTTGGCTGAGGCCCTTGAGTTAGTCAAATTAGTAACAATATTATTGGGGTTGGGGCTGGACACTCCAGGAAGACCTTCAGTGTAATTTAGGTTGGGGCTCTGGGTCACACAGTGTTAGTTGACCTGAAGACTGAGATCAATCACATAGACAATTGATCAATCATGCCAACATAATAGAACCCAATAAAAACTCTGAACATTGAGGCTTGGATACAGTTTCCTGGTTGGCAGTACTCTGAGTATGTTGTCACACATTGATGCTGGGAAACTAACATGTCCTGACTTTACAGGGAGAGGACACAGAAGCTCCATATTTGGTACTTCCCTTACTCTGTCCTATGTTTCCTCTCTTGGCTTATTTTAATCTGTATCCTTTCCTTGTAATACACCATAATCATGAGTATAACTTCTTTCAGTGAGTTCTGTGAATCCTTCTAGCAAATTCTGAAACCTGAGGGTAGTTTTCAGAAGCCCCCAAACTTGTGGTTGGTGTCAGAAGTGAGAATCTCTTGGGAATTCTTCCTTCTGTCTTTGCAATTGGCCAAACTCCTTGCAGAGAGACTTTGCATGGTGCAGAACTACTTGCTGCTGGTCAACCTGGAAACAAACATGTGAGACCAGGAGGAACAGGTCCAGAGTGGAAGATAAGGAAGACCTGCCACCTCATGATGTGCAATCTGACATCCATAGCAGGACATCCCTGGCCTGCTACCCCTTCAAAGCATCAAGGACACAGGAGATGCAGAAAGTAAAGTGCAAATTGAAGAGGCACATATTCTTTTAGTCCCATTCAGAAACTTCCCTGTTTTGTCAATTCTCCTACCTTCATTCACACTCACACTCACAGATTCTGTCCTCTCAAATTACCTGAAGACCTGGCCCTATTATTTATAAGAAGACTCATCCATCATTATGGCAGATTGAAGATGGCCATAAATTCTTTGACACTTCTCTCATTAAAAGAGGAAATCTATGGTCCCTCTCCAAGAACCTGGGCCAATTCTGTGACTGCTTTAACCAATACAATATAGCTGAAGTGATGCTGCATATTTTCTGGACTCAGGCCTTGATAAACTAACAGCTTCCACTTCTTGTCTTTTGGAGCACTGGCTCTGGGGGAAGCCAGACACCACATAAGAAATTCAAACTAGCCACTTGAAAAGATGACTGGCCAACTTCAACTGTTCTAGCCATCTGAGCCCAGGTGCCAGACATGAGAGAAGAAGTCCCCTAAATATTCCAGCCTCAGCAGGTGCAATCTAGAGAAGAACCAGGAAACAGCCATAGCTGAGAAGACAGATATATGGCCCCACTAAAACCATTCAATCATCTACAGTTATTTGAGCCATCGGAGCTGAGGCTGCAGTCTAGAAGGAGCAGAGAGAAGCTATCCCCACTGTGCCCTGCCCAGTTTTCCAGTGCACAAAACTGTGAGATAAAATTAAACAGTCATTGCTTTATATTACTAAGTTTTAGGAAGTTTGTTATGCAGCAGTAGATAACTATTTCATTGCCTCATAAATGGAGTCCAGCCTTTCATAGGTGGAGACTCAGCTCTTTTGTACCCATGGGCCTTGTATTTCTTATGCCTACTGGGGCCTGGTTCTCTCTCATACACAGAGCCATGACCTTCTGATCACTGACAGCTACAGAGAACTGACCCTGTTAAATATACAAAAATTCAACCCTCTCACTTGAGGAACCTGCCCTCTTACCACACAGGGACACAACCTTCTCATAGCCACAGAAAACTGCTCTTGACATACACACAAGGACTGAATATCCTCCCATCTGGGGACTCAGACCTCTCACACACCTGGTACACCATCTTATAATTACACCCACTTGGAAAGTGGTGCTCGTTTTGGTGACCTGCCCTCAGAGGTGCCTCTGTCTCTCATAAGCAGGGCTTAGCCTTGCTCAATCCCTCTGTCTCCTCTCCCACCTCCCCGCTTCTCTCTCTCACACACACACTGATACAGCACCCACCTCCTCCCCTGTCTTTCTCTTTTCAGCTACAATCCACACTTAACAGTGCCTTGTGGAGACTATGAGGCTACCTTTAGAGTTTGATGCATGAGTTACTTCTAATGACAGAAATTTCAAACCTCTTAGGAGGGGAGGGTGGTGATGGGGTAGACGGCTGGGAAAGGGAGTGGAATTGAGTGTGATGTTTGTGGCCATGCTGTCACAGAAGGAGCACACACTAAACCAGAAGACCTAAGACCCAGAATATCCAGCCCCCATTACTGCTGTAAATTTGAATTCTTATCACTCTTCAGCTCACTGAGCTGCAATTTCCTCACCTTTAAAGGGAGCACAATCACCTCACAGACCACACTCTCCATAACTGCTGCTGACATGCTCAAATCCATGCTCTGAGTCCCTTCAGTAAACAACTCCATACTAGATGACCCAAGAAAAGGGAAAACTCCCTCCCTAAATCCTCCAATGACACCAGGAGCTTACATCTTGAATGAAGGAGGAAAAGGAGTTATTTAATTTCTGGGTAAGAGAAAATAGCCAGGAGAAAGAGATTTTGTTAATGACACACTTCCAAGAATGCTAGATCCACTAACAGTTATCAGGTATGGGTCAAAAAGCAGTTAGAAATGTAAGAGTCAATTAAAAACCCATTGTACCTTATCAAAAAGAATCTATGTTACTTGTCTGTGGGCTCAGCTGTGATCACTGAGCTGAAAAGAAAGCTGACTGAGGTGGCTCCCTCCTTTCCTCAAAAGGCACACCCAGCAATCTGTGAAATTATGTTCTACAGACCCAAAACAAGAGTAGTGATTTGGTATTTAAAATTTGCTTGGCTTAAGTTGGGCACGGTGGCTCACTCCTATAGTCCCAGCTACTCAGGAGGCTGAGGCAAGGTGGGAGGATCTCTTAAGCCTGGGAGTTTGAAACTGGCCTGGGCAACATAACAAGACCATGTCTCTAAAAATATATACATAAAAAAGAAAATAAAAATTGCTTAGCTTGCCACTATAGAACATTCCGCAGGCTTTGGCAATAGAGGTGCAGATTAGGAAAAGCCAACAGGACCAAGAGGAACCATGAAGGAACAGCCACCGCTATATCCTTATCTGCTTCAAGAGAGAACCCACTTGGGCACCTAGAGCAAGAATGTGAAAGGATCCATAGGAAGCACCTGGGAAACTGAGACAAATGGATGGAAATGCCTCCAGAGGACAGAAACTGAGGAACTTGCTATTAAATTGCATCTTTATTTTTCTATTTGCTTCTGTTTTGATAAAACATCTGGCCCTGAGTTTTGTGTTTAGAAAATGATGCTGATTCACCAAATTATCTTCACCTTCTTTCCAGGTCTCAGGCTGGCAACTGTTCTTGTTTTGGAAGATTTCAAAATGGGAACTGGGGTTTAAAACTCAGGACAAGTTGTAGCCACTAGAATCTTAAAGAGCCTTTAAAGTTACAAATGGATCTTTGAGAGGCTGATGAAACTATGGACACCCTCCCCCAGATAATATATACATACATGTACACATGAGTTTGCAAACAATTTCAGGCAACTTGAGTCAATTGGACTCAACCAATAAGAAGTGAAATGAGTTGCCCAAGTTCACATACTAGTTAGAGGAAACCAGCATAGAACCCACCCATGTCTTCTGTCTTCCAGTGTAGTATATTTTGTGCTCCACGTTATGTGCATTGGAAAACAGGCCTTTCAAACTATAAGCTCCACGAGGGCAAGTCCTATTCACCAACCTAGCACCAAAGTGCCCAATAAATAAGTGACCTGTTCACTTACTGATGGAAAAGAGTAACAACAACAACAACAGAAAACTTCCAAATCCACAATAAAAAAAGCAGATTAAGAATCATTATCAGGCTGAGGCAGGTGAATGAGGCAGGTGAATGGCGTGAACCCGGGAGGCGGAGCTTGCAGTGAGCCGAGATCCCGCCACTGCACTCCAGCCTGGGCGACAGAGCGAGACTCCGTCTCAAAAAAAAAAAAAAAAAAAAAAAAAGAATCATTATCAACAGTTTTGTTTCTATTGTTTCCAGTTCTCAGCAGACTTGAGCTTCCATTCAACTCATTCCAAAATAAATGGTTTTTACACACACACACACACACACACACACAGAGATACACAAAGAATCACCCATTGGTGCTTACATAGATGCATTGATAAAAATATCATAAAATCATATTTTAGTAATATTGATAATGTTTTTTCTAAGTCGCATTTTTTCTCCACTAACGTGCTTGTTTACAAAATACCTTTGTTTGGCATTTTCTAAATCACACTACCATATAAAACCCAAATCTTCACTTTTCAAAAGAATTACAGAGTAGCATCTGTTGTATGTAGCACTACTAAATCAGGCTACAATTAATTTTAACTTATGTGGGCATATGTACATGGTAAGTACAGTTTCTTATACAATTATTAAATGTAATCAGCCTATTACTTTTCAGTTTCAATCCTAGTGCCTTTTATTCTTGAAAAAGCACACTCCCTAACTCTCTTACTTCATGCCCCAGCCAGGTCAGTTTCAAGCCCTCTGTGTGATTACTGATGAAATTTCTCTTAGCTTTTACTACATATACTTCTTTACTTCTTTCTTATATTTGTCTCTTTCCAGGCTCAGTTCTACAAATATCATTAATCTATACAGGGAAACTTCTCATCAGAACACAGAATTTCCTATATTTCCTTCTTTAATCACCTCCCCCAACTACACACTTCTATCTCACTCAGCTCAGCCACAGGTGGGACCCCGCCCTCAGCCTGCGACCAACACTAGCCTTCTCCCCTCATCTGTCCAGGAAGCTTTTTAGAAATCAGTAAAGATGTGATGTAGTCTTGAGTGTAGTCTTGCTATGCCAGGGATGCCAGAAGCCATATCCTTTTCCTCTCTGTCCGAGTACAGCCAGGAGAAAGGCATATGACTGAAGCTCAATGAATTAGATGTTCTCTTCCAGGACTTTGAATCTTGAGCTGGGCGACACAAGGACCAAACAATCAGATTACTTAGTGCTCACACCCTAACCTGTCCCTTCCTGCTGGAGGATGGTGGTTGGGGCTTCTGCTTCCTAGGTCTCCAGGCTTCCCGTTAATTCTGCAAGTCCCCTCCCTGCATCAACACCACCTAAGCCTATCAAATTCTCTTTCATTTAAGTCAGCTCAAGAAATTCCTGTGGTTGCAGCAAAATAACCCTGACTGATTCATGAAGAAATCCAGGGAGCAGGCTAAACCAGGCCATTCCACTTCCTCTTTGATGCCACAGTCATGATCATACCACTAGAAGGTGGTTAATTGCTTCTCCTCCACCAGCTACTTCAGAAGGTCACTTTGTCAACAGGGAAACAGGCCTCTTAATCAAGAGATAAGACATCTGGATACCGGCTCTGGCTGTGCCAATAACCAGCTATGAATCTCAATGTTATCCACTCACTCTCAACGTGGCAAGTAGTAGTGCCAGCTTATACTTATTAAGGACTTAATACATGCCAGGCATTGTTCAAAGTGATATATATATATATATTTATGTATAAACACATACATACATATATGCACACACATATATATATAATTTAGATTTATATATATATATATATAGTCGTTTACTCCTTATAACAATCTTATGAATAAATTACAGTTTTCCCTATTTTTCAGAAGGAAAACTGAGGCATGGGGAGGTTAAGTATCTTACTCAAAGTTACACAGCTAGGAAGTAGCTTGAACCCAGAAAAGCTAGCTCAAGGATATGTACTCTTAGCCACTATACTATGCTGCTCCTGTGGGTCTTGGTGTCCTTTTCTCTAAGTTGTAACTGGACTACTTTGAAGATACTGAGATTTATACTCTAATCATTAGACCATTGTGACCCAGTATCATGGGTCCAGGACTGCTCCACACATAATGGTTTAAGGTTTTAGCTCTTTCAGAAAAGCCTTGGTCCCTCCTGTAAGCTCCAGATGAATGTTTCTTCTGAGTAGTACCCTCATAACCCATCTAATCAAGATAGAGACCAGCTTTCCTCCCGCCACATCAATGATTGTCGCTTTAACTGTATTTTTTCCTATTGCTGCTGTAATAAACTGCCACAAACTTAGTAGTTTAAAACAACACAAATTTATTCTTTTACAGTTCTGGAGCTCAGAAGTCTAAAATGGGTCTCACTGGGCAAAAATGAAGGTATTAAGCGTCTCTGTTTCTCCTGGAGGCCTTAGGAGAGAATCTGTTTCTTTTCCAGTGCATAGTGGCTGCCTACATTCCTTGGCTTGTGGGCCCTTCCTCCAACTTTAAAGACAATAGTGCATCATCTTCAACTTTTTCTTTAATTATGACACCTGCTTTGGTCATTACATCTTCTCTGACTCCTTTAAGGAACCTTGTCATTACATTTAGGGCCAACCCAGATAATGCAGAATAATCTCCTGGTCTTAGGGTTCTTAATCAAATCTGCAGTCTGTTTGGTCATATAACATATTCACTTCCTGGGAAGATTAAGGTATCAAAACCATTGAGGGGCCATTATTCTGCCTACTACAACTATCTGAATACACAACAGTTAAACTTACCACCACAATGTTTCCTGTTTTAGACATCTGAATCCAGAAATAGGAGAATTCCACATTTCTTTGAATATTCTAAGTGAATATTTCTTAAAGGGTCTAATCCTTCTTCTGACTGTGCCAGGTAAATGGAGGCAGATACCCAGAAGAAGAGAAGATCATGAGTTGGAAATCTGTCTGATCAAACTGCAAAGATTTTCCAAGACTCTATTGTTCAATGTATTCTTCAGTCTCTCTTTTTTTACTTAAATTCAGAAGCAGTTGGCTTTTAAAGCCCAGTGAAGCCCCCAGTTCCTGGATTCTAAATTTCTACATTTCCTTCCATTTTGAATCTCATACCAACCAATTTTTGCTTGATTATCTTGTCTAATACAGCAAAAAGAAGCCAAGACACATTAATAGGCTCTTTCCAGCCAATACCTTTCATGTGACAGTCTTAACAGGCAAGTGGTCTAACTCATCCCCTTCCTAGCTATGTGGTCTCTGATGAGTTACTTTATTTCACTGAACTCCCTTTTTTGATGAAAGAAATTGTTCTCTTTTCCATTTACCTAACAGTCTAACTACTGGTATCTCAATGGCAAAGATAATAGCTTTTCATCATTTTCTTCACATCCTCATGTCAGCCTATTGCTTATATGAAGAATACACTCAGGAAGTAAATGCTCCCTCAGGTACATTTCTAAAAACCATATTTATTCTACCAACCAGCATGCTTTGCATATACTAGATGCTCAGTAATGTTAGGTATCATTATTTTCTCCCTTCTTCTTTTCCATTTGTTCAGAATCAGAGAAACTTGCCTCTGCAAGGAAATGGTGGTACAGAAAAAAGCATAGTACACATGCTTTTCTACTTGATTAAAATTTCACAGTCCATCTAGTTACCCTATAACCATTGAGGAAACTTCCCAATTTCTGCCACACATTCTTTGTTTAATAGGATAAAGGCTCATTTCAGAGATTGCTAGAAAGCACTTTTCATTACGACCTACTTTTAAAATTCATGGCCTCAGGGTATTTATAATTCAACCAGAGAATCAGAGTACATGGAGGAGAAAACAACCTTCCTTAGACCACTGGTTGCAAACTAGAGGCCACAGAACACATCAGCCCATGGGCATGGTTTGTTTGTGTGTGCTATAATAGTAAAAAAAAATTTTTGATTTGGTTTCTAACATTTAAAAACCAAAAGACATCATATTAAAATTGAATTTCTTGCTTCTGATTAAAAAAAAAAACAGGAAAAGCTGACCACATTGGGTCCACAGTACCACAAGGTAACAATGTGCTTACTTGAGAGTAGCTGCTCCCTTTGCACAGGGCTACAACTCTGCAGTTTGTCTCAGTTCCCCCATCTCTCTTAATCCCCATACTCTCCTACTTGGCCCTGTAAGCAACTGAGTTTGTGACCCTTTGTTCTGGATCCTATGATCTGCAAGGTATAACTAGACTTTTTATTTGCATAGTCTCTATTCCTTCAGGAGAAAATCTGTTGGATCAATGCACATTATTTTCTATGTTTTCTAATATTCTATGCAAATTATCCCTACATTTGGAAATGTTCCTCTCACCAGCTGATCCAGGGAAGGCTCGGATGCCATGGCCAGACCTGTGTTTCAGCCAGCTTTAACTGGATCAAAGACAGATTGAAGGGAGGAGAGAATAGTTAAAAACTAGAGCAATAGCTTAGAAGAGAGGGAATGGAGGTTTGAATTAGGGCAATGGTAGTGACAATGGAGAAATGACAGATGTGGGAAATTTTGAAGAAGCAGAATCAATAGGAGGTAACAACTGATTGGATTTTAGTATTTAATTACTCTTCACTTCCTCCATGAAGCTCTTACTGGACTTTCTACACCCACTTCCTCACTTTAGTCAGACTCTACTGCTCATTCAGAAAAGCCTTGGTCCTTCCTGTCAGCTCATATTTTTATCTCTGCCTAATGTTCTGATAGACTGCTTACATACAAGTGGCAAAGGAAGTAGAAGAATTCAGGATCAATCTTAAATTTTAGGTGGAAAGACCAACCAGGTGCCTTTAATGAAGACAAAGAGTACAGAAAATGATCAACATTTGTTTTCATCTTTGGGGGGTGGGTGGGACACAGAAGGCTGGAGATAAGGGAAATTAGGAGTTTAGTTTGGCACATAAAATTCAAGCAATGGATGGCGATATCTATGTCTAGTAAGTAGTGGTATTGTTTAATGGTCAGTCACATGGACTAGAATCAGAATGCCTAGGTTCGAATCCTAGCTCTGCTAGTTCCTAGCTCTGTGACATTGGGTAAGTTACATAACATCTCAGTGCCTTGATTTCTCTGAAACATGGGAATTAATAATGTGTCTGCTTCATAGGGGTAGGGCAGTAATAAGACTGGGAACTAAGAAAGAGACATGAGCCATTACAGTTGTAGACAATGAATGTGCTCCCTTAGGAAGACCCTGTGGAGAGGAAAGGAAGCCAAGTGCAGAGCCCAGCTGTGAGGCAGAGTGGCAGATGGGGCCCAGAACATCAGTTCTCAAATGTGGCTGCATATTGTAATCACCTGGAGAACTTCCAAAAAATACTGATGTTTGGGTCTTACTCCCAGATATTCTGACTGAATTGTTCTGGCATGTGGCCTGAGTGTTGGGAGTTTTAAAAGGTACCCAGGCAATTCTAACAGATACCAATTTTGGGAGCCGTATCCCTAAAGAAAGACACTAAAGACCTAGGATTTCTTATTTTAAAATGGGCTCCATCCATTAAAATGTAGATTCAAATGTAAATTCTAACAAAGTCCTTTTTTTATAACATTATTATATATCAGAGACTTGTTAGAAGATACAATAAAAATAATAGCTACCATTTGCTAGCAATTGGAGTGAAATACTGTACTGATTGTGAGCATGGGCTCTGAAATTAGGCGTAGGTTCAAATCACAGCTCCACTACTTACTTAGCTGTGTGGATTTGGGAAATTTCCTTATGTTATGTTGCTGTATTTTACTTTCCTCATCTAAAAAATGGGGATTATATCACTATTTGCCACACAGGGCTAATTGTAGGGTAAGTATACTAATGTGTGAAAATAACTTAGAACAGTGTTTGGCATACAGAAAACATTTAATAAAGGTTTGCTATGATTATCCTGATTGTCACCATTGGGTGTTTATCCTATGCAAGACACTGTACTGTCCACTTAATAAGCAACAGGTTGAATTACTGAGATATTATTGGTGTCTTGTCTTTCTGCTACTGAGGACCCATCAACAAAAATAGACTAATTTTCCTTTTTCTTCTCAAGAGATGGTCTGATAGACCTTCAAGTCTCAATTGCACTACGGGGGTGATAGCTTTTATGTTTCAGGCTCAACTGGGAAGATTAAGCTGGTCTATACCAGGATGCTGAAGAATCAGGCTGAGTACTTAATCGTAAGGATACCTGTGTTCAGAGAAGGCTGAATTCACTACCCTAGCAAGTTTACAACAGAAGAGTAAGGTACTGTTTGGGAAGAAATAAGACCCTGAAACTTGTAATAGGGACATCAGGTCTGGCATATTTGAAACTCTTGGAACTCCAGATCACACTGAACCATTTAAGCTTACAGAAGAGGCCCAGTCCTCCCTGTTAAAGGCTACCACTCCTCCATTGTTTGACCATAATACTGCAGACTATTTACTTGAAAAACAATATGGGCTTCATCAGTGTCTACCCCCATCTCCTCTCTTGGCCACCAAACCAATAACCAGGGTCAAGCTCTAACATAACCAGCTGGAGAAGCACTGGGTCTTCTAAGAGAAGAAAGGCACTATGCCCTGAAGGAGCACAGGACCTAGCAATACATACCAGCAGAGTCAGCACAGTATGTAGGACTGGATCCTCAGGGTGCTGGATCAAGGAGTACAAATGAGGTTGAATTAAGGAAGAGTTTATAGATATGGAAACGTGCTCCAGTGATACAGATTTTTTTTTTTTTGAGACAGAGTCTTGCTCTGTCACCCAGGCTAGAGTGCAATGGCGCAATCTCAGCTCACTGCAACCTCCGCCTCCCGGGTTCAAATGATTCTCATGCCTCAGCCTTCTGGGTAGCTGGGATTACAGGCTCATGCCACCACACCAGGCTAATTTTTGTACTTTCAGAAGAGATGGGGTTTCACTATGTTGGCCAGGCTGGTCTCAAACTCCTAACCTCATGGTCTGCCCACTTCGGCCTCCCAAAGTGCTGGGATTACAGGCGTGAGCCACCACACCCAGTCGTGATACAGAATTTAAATCCTGCCAAGGACTTTGGGGGATGGTAATAATACCCTTGTAGGATGACTCTAGGAAGCTTGCATGGTTCACAATAAGTCATGCCATAATTGCCATGGCAGAAGATGGAAGAAAAGATCAAATGGTTCAAAGAAGTAGGATGCTAAAATAGATATACTATGCAAGGCTAGAAAACCCATCAGTCAACTATGTTCAGTGAACCCAGAGGGATCAAAGGATACTCTGAGCATCTAAAATGATAAGAAATGCACTGCTAATCAAGCTACAAGCACATCAAGAAGCTTGACAGTGGCCACCTTCTCTAATCTAGGGCTAATTGTAGGAGATATTGTTATAGAACAACAGTGTTGGGCTCCCTTACAGCAATGGATCTGACAGGAATCATCAGAAACAAGGTGGGTACAATTATCATAGCAAATGGCGAAGTCAGAATGGCTACCAGTGGCACTTAACATACAGAGAGCTATCGACATGGTTAATATAATGCAGTGTCTCCAGGGCAAGATAGACGGGCAGCCAACCAGGATATTGATGGCCAAGTAATCAAGAGAAATTAAGGATGGATTATCAGGAGGTCAAGGGTAATTCTTCAGTAAAAATCTCTCACACAATTTTCATCAATTTCATATCTGAGCAAGTTTTCAGACTAGAGCCCATTGATTGAAGAAGAGGCTGAGTTACAGAGCAAAAGGATTTTGTAACACCACAGCAAGTGTGTATGGTAATTACTTCCTCAGTTCTTCCCCCAAAAGACCTATGACCATTTACTCAAGTAACCATACACAGAGGGAAGAGGAATATCAAAATGTCTGAAGGGTTTTTGGACATCTATACCCCTTGAAAATCAAGTAGACAGGATTTGATGTAAGTCAGCATCTGTCATCAGCCATACCAGTTTTGGCACAACAGTCACAAAACAAAATATCCATGGTGGTAGAGTTGGAGAGTACACATAAGCCAGACATCATGAGGTCCCTTGTACTAAGTCTTATCTAGATTTCACTGCTGACCAACGTCCCGCCTGCCAGTGAAAAGGACCAGTGATCCTCCATATGGCACTATCCCTTGAGAAGACCAAATATCCAACTGGTGGCAAGTTGATTACATTCTAATAGAAAGGGGTAGTGAATAATTTTGACTGGAATTAACACATATTTTGGGTATAGATTTTCTTCCTTTGCTCATAAGTTCTTAGCCTGTACCACCATACAAGATTCTTACAGAATCTTTGATCCACCAACATGGAACCACACATAACATCACATTAAACCAAGTAAACCACTTTAGAGTGAAGCAGAGTTGGGAAGAGGTAGAAATACTCAGCAGCAGAGGGCATACTCATATGGGTATACTCAGATGAGTATGGGACCACTGCTCCTATCACATATCAAACATCCCAGAAGCTGCTGGACTCAGCTGACCTTTGGAAGACTCCCTGAGGTATCAGATTGGAAATAACACCTTTCAAGGCCAGTACACCACCAGTACTTAGAATATATGGATCTAGAATCATTAGGTAGATGGAGAAGTTGTCCCACTATCATCACTGTTAGTAACCCACTTGGTGAAATTGTGTCTCATCTTCACAACTCTAAGCTCTTTAGGTCTGTAGGTCTTGGTTTGCAGAGAGAGATATTTTCCGCAGACCATGTGTCTACTAGGGTATCTGTCAGTACTCTCCTACCCAATTTTGAAGGTCAAATGTAGCAGTTACGGACTGAAAAGGATGGTGACCAGTGTTTAAGACCCCTTAGAGATGACCGTCTGGGTTGCCTCACAAGATAAGCCACTTTGACTTGCAAAAGTGCTAGCTGAGGATGAGAGGAAACTAGAATGGATCTTAGAGGAGGTAAATGGTGAGAGTCAGCTGTGACCCTAAGACCAGCTGCATTGCAGGGCTGAGGTTCTTCTTCTAACCTTCTTCTTGTAAGCTTCCCCTTGAGAGAGGCTAACCAGAATTCTTGAGGACCTGTTCCCAGATGAGGTAACTTAATATTTCAAGACAGTGAACCTGAGCATGCAAGGAATAACCTGTAGTGCATGCTGTGGTGTGTTGTCCAGGCCACCCTTCAGGACCAAGACACACATTTCCCCAGACGCCAGGCAATGGCCACTGATAATGCACAATATAATTTCTCTAAGGAATTGCTCTTGGCTGAAGAGGGCCTCCTTGCCTAAGGTTCCGCCCCCTTCTACAGGCAATCAACTGCAATGGCTGATCAAAAACCAGGTCCTTTTGTCTCAACTCCAAATAACTCTGAAGGGCCATGCTAGCTCCAGAGTTCCCAGTAGGACTAGCTGAGGTCTTTGTCACAATTGCTTCACAGTTCAATTTCTACCTCTCCGCAACTCTGCTTCCTTCACTCTCTTATGTATGTGGTTCATAAAACCACTCCCCAAGAAGTTCCCTGCATGCAAATATCCATCTCAGAGTATGAGGGACTGGACCTATAGCACCAGGATACAAGTTTTGTATGTAATGAACACAAGAAAAACTGCCCTCCACCCCAAAAATTGCCCTTGATAGGAGAGGTAATGCCTGGATTCTAAAAAGAGATCTGTCTCCAAAGCACATAAATTATCAATAACATTTAAACAGAGAGAGATGCCAGGGAGAGTATGCCTAAAGAAGCCAAAATTCTGATTTTTACCAACAAGATCATCTAGAAAGTCACCTTGGACAGCAAAGTCTCACTAAAGCTTTTGGCATAGTCATGCATGAACTTTTCTAAGAGCATAGATTTTGCTCTCACCTCTTGAACTTATAGGACTGTCACTTCTCTGAGGAGGAAAGGTCAGTTTCCTAAGGGAAATCATTTTCTGATGAAAATGTATGGAAGGGTTTCAATGGCTTCACTGGTCTCCTTTATGGAGGAATGTACCAAAGATACCAACAGGAAAATCATCATAATGATAAAATACAGATTTCTATATAGTCCCTAATGGGAAGAATGGGAAACAGAGCTTGTGTCCAACTGCCTCCGTTTCTCAAATAGAATTTTTAACCTTGGCCAGAGTATTTCCAGAATGGCTTTATACTAACTTGTACCAGAGATAAAATCTCCCTGCTAAAATAGCTATAATATTAGTCACCTTAGGGGGATGCTGTCAGGCTTTGTAAAGTACTTTGTAGCTCCTCAGATAAAAGCAGAGATAAAGCTGCAGTGTTATTATTTCTCAACTTGGAGGGCTATTTGGCTAACCCTCTGCATGAACTCACTCTAATAAACTGACTCAAAGCCTTATATAGGCTATAAATCCCATCGCCCACTTCATTTCAGCAATGACAGGGAAAACACGATGACCACTTGTTCTGTCGGCCTCAGGAAGTATCACCCTCCCACCCTGAGGAAAAATCAAAACTGAGCAATGAATTTCAGATGGTGTCTAATGAGATATACCATTTCTGTCCCCCAAATCCTAATGTCTTTAGACAAAATCATCTTAGGTCCTCAGTCTGTAAACCAAGATGCTCCATGATCCAACCCCAGCCTCCTCCTCCTCATCTTCATCATCTTAACTGAGGCAGGGATGGCTAACTGTACACCTAAACCCATGCTCCTCCAACCTGAGCCTAGAGAAGGTGCTGGGAAGCCTCCGTCTAGCCAGGAACTGTGTTTCTCACTACCTACTGCATCCAACTAGGGCTGCAGAACCCGTTTCCACCAAAAAAAGAAATGTTATTTTCAGGCCTATGTAAAGGCTAGGAGGAGTTGCGTTTTCCCCACTCCAATTGCTGTTGACTACATGTCAAGGGCACTGAGATTCCTGGGGGCAGTAAAGTCATTGAATTCAAGAATCCCTGAGAATAGGAACATCCGCATAAGACTGAAATATGACTAAAAATAGATATTTATTGTGTTAAGCATTGCAATGTGGAGGTTTATTTGGTACAATGTCTAATGTTCCCCTAACTATACAAGAACACCTTTTGAGCCACTGCTATGTGCTAGGAACTTTTCCAAGAACTTAACCTAAATATCTTTTACTCCTGACATTAAGCCTACAGGGTAGCTACTATTATTATCCACATTTCTCATATTGGAAAATGAGGCATGGAAAAGTTCAGCAAAATGTCCAAGGTAGCAGTGAAGCTAGAACCGGGACACAGGTCCATCTCAGTTCAGTGCTGCATCCTTAATGACCCCAGGATGCTGACTCCATTGACCTCCCTTCAGCTATAGCTTCATCCAAGTATGTACCTCACGGCTGTCTTACTGCCAGGAATGACTTTCCTTTCATCCCTCAATTCCTGTCAAATGCAACAAGGCACTGCTAAACTTCCAGCTGCCTCTGAAGCAGTCCTTCCTACTTATGATTCATGCGCCTCTCCTCAGCTTCACCTTAACACTCATGTGTCCTTCCATTACCAGAGAAGAATGCATTCCCTAATGAGACTGTAAATCTCGGAAGTCAGCACTACCAAATCTAGCCCAGAGCTTTAAACATGCCCTGGCAGAAGTAGGTGCTCAGGAAATGTTTGCTGAATTGAAAACTTGCATTTGAAACACAGGGCAGTGAGACAGATGGCTGTTTTTCTTGATTATATGCTGAGAGAACTGCAAGATCCCAGGATCAAATGATGGCACAAATCCAGAAGAGTCTTGGTTGAGAAAGGAGAGGTTTTTCCACCCACTGCAGCTGAGCAGGGTGCTAATCCTCTGGTCACACACAGGGAACTGGTACTTAGGGCCAGCCACGTATCAGGAACACTGGGATGGAAGGGATCCTGCCTAAAACTGTATCTATCCTCCATGCCATAGACACAGTTCATTGAGGCCTGAATCTTTATGATTAAGGGTTCACTTCTTGACAAAGGGTGAATATTTTCAGGCATTCCTATCTTGATACAAATGGGTTTGTTAGGCCCTTTCCTGAGTGAGTTTTGAAGAACCCTAGCATAAGTGCAGACTTGAGGAGGGAGAGATCAGAATTCAGCAATGAGGGGAAAGAACAGTTAGGACTTGGAAGTCCAGGTTTGCCTGCTTCACAGGAGTGCTCATGGTTTGTCTGAGCCTGAGATTGGATCCACAGAAGATCAGACACCTCTTTTCAGAAGGGGAACGACTAGTGACGGCCTCTCTGCCTTATCCAAACCTGAGTCTTCTTGAAAGAGGATTAAAAATTCCTACTCTTGGCAAAGACTAAACACCAATGTTCTTTGGCAAAGATGCTGTGGTGGGTGGGAGTATATCAGCCACTAAAACGACCCTAGGGCAGCAAAGTACACACAATTAGTTTCTAGAGCTTCATTGTCTACTCCAATCAGTTTCAGGAATCACCTGTCACCATCTCCCTCTAGTGCCAGAGAATGAAGTTTGTGCAGAGTAAAATGATGAAAGAGCCAAAATTTGCTAGAACAATACTGGTCTTGAATGTTCCAGTGCTAAAGGTTATAGGGGCTGTTAGCAAACTGTAAAGGACTAAACGTTGATTTGTTAATTATAGATAGCTAAACCAAAATAAACAATATTAGCAATCCTTGTCCCCTTGTCCCCAGCCTCAAAGGGTATGAAAAATGCAAATATATCTATATAACTTTTTATCATGTACTTGAACTGCACCCTCTCTTTCTAAATTTACCTTTCCTTTGGCAGGATGAAGCAAGTTACCCGTAGTCACTATTATTTATTTGGCTAGTAGTTTTCCCTCCCAAACATACCACCATAGATGGCTATCTTCTGCATCCTACTCTCTATCATGTCAAAGTTCTGCCCCATAATGTGGAACCTTACAGAGGCTTGCATCTATAGTATGAATTCAGATGTGCCATGAAGTCCCCAAAGGCTAAATACAATATTCCCTCTCCCAACCCCATCACTACGTCCTCCCCCACAACTGAACCTGTAATTTCATGCTCAGAGCACTGTCCCCTCTGGCTTCAGATTCTAGTTTAAGGTATAAATGCTCATGAAGGGAACATTCCTAAAACCATTAAATGAACTGAGAATACAAAAGTCAGCTTTTATTATTCAACGAATAATTTCCCCAACTCCTACTATGAGCTGGGCACATTGATTTGGTAAAGTTAACCCTAGATTTTAAGTCACAAGGAGAAGGGGGAGATACCAAGGCAAGTAAGAGAACTGCCACAGCCAAGACAGGATGACTAGATGTAATAAAGTATCCTGAATGGAAGCCTCAAAAAGAAAAAGACATTAGGCAAAAATAAAATCTTAGAGTACAGGCCGTACTTAATAATAATGTCTTAATATTGGTTCAGTAATTGTAACAAAAGTACCATAAAATGTAAAATGTTAATAATAGGGGAAATTGGGACTGGGAATAGGGGAAATATGGGAACTCTATGTGCTCTTACCAATCTTTTATGTAAATCTAAAGCTGTTCTTAAAAATAATTTTTGTTGTTTTTTTGTTTTTTGTTGTTGTTTTTGTTTTTGTTTTGAGATAGAGTTTCACTCTTGTTGCCCAGGCTGGAGTGTAATGGCGTGATCTCGGCTCACTGCAACCTCCACCTCCCAGGTTCAAGCAATTCTCCTACCTCAGCCTTCCAAGTAGCTGGGATTACAGGCGTGTGCCACCACACCCGGCTAATTTTGTATTTTTAATAGAGACAAGGTTTCACCATGTTGGCAAGGCTGATCTCGAACTGCTGACCTCAGGTGATCCACCCGCCTCGACCTCCCAAAGTGCTGGGATTACAGGCATGAGCCACAGCGCCCGGCCAAAGTATTTTTTTAAAGTGAAAGAAAGAAAAAGGCTGAGAGCACCAATGATGGTGGCAGAGGCATCCATAACTATTCCTGTTCAAATAGTGCCCAAATTTCCTTTAAAAAAATCACCTCTCTGGTCGGTAGCTTGGGTGGACTGACCCATGCCCAGCGCCGGTGGAAGAGTTCTCATTGGCTTAAGCCTAATAGTGTCCCACCCACCCAGCCACAGTGATTGGTTTAAAATAGGTCATGCAGCCAATCAGAGCAGCGGGATTCCAGGTCCTGCTTGCTGAAGCCTTAGGGAGGAAAAGCTTTCACTCTCAGGACAAGAATGTGAGAATTATGGGGCGTCAGATGCTACACCTCCCTTGTGACCATGAAGAGAAGGACACCGATGGACACTGTGAGACACAGCTCACATCCAAAGGGAACTATGCTGAAAAACGGACCCTGGTGCCATCCTTCGAGCTTCCCTGATAACGTCTGCCGTTAAGAAGAGCGACTTCTAGGTTCCTGCCATCTACAGCATGGACAATTCCAACTCATCCTATGGACTGACAGTTACAGCATGGCTTGTGGCCGCCTGACCGCGCGGAGCATGGTGCACCAGGAGCGAAGCCCTGCCGTGTTGGTCACAGGACCTGTAGCAGAGACAAGTTCGTTGAAAAGGACGTGTAGTCACAGCTTTAATAGTGCTTGCTTATGAATTTGAAAGTAGAGCAACAAGTCGAATGAGGTAGCGTTAGGCAATAGGCCCCTTGGTTTCATTCCAAAGAGTCTATCAAAAGCAAGTTATCTTCCAGTTCTGGGCCAGACCAAGTAGAGGTCAAAAGTCCAAGGCCTTATTTGGGTTCTGTATTGGGTTTTCAGCCAAGAATAAAAAGCTGGCCCTTTATGGGCCTCAGAGGCAATAGCCTTTTCTCTCTGTTCACCCTATATTCATTCTCAGGGCTTAGCACATCAGCAAGTTTCTAATAAGAGCTCAGTAAATACATGCTGAATAAAATAAATGCTGAAAATGCTTTTATTTAACTGTAGAATACGTTATCTAGATTTTTAAAAATTCTGTTATAATAGCTTGTCTAATCCAGTGTCTTCAAAGCAGAAACTTTGAGGCAAATCACAAGACTGGATGCCCAATGCCAACATTTTAATGGGGAGCTCAATAAAGTTCTCAAAACTCATCACCTGAGCTACAGAATGCCCTCACCTCGAGGCTTGTTTTTCACTCTTCAGAAACCTAGCCATATGATTCAAGAAAGCCTTTCAAAGATGACCAGTCTGACATCCCGTTTTCTCTCACCAGCAGCATGTTCAAAAGTGCTGTGCTGGTTTAGACCTGCTAGTTCAGATTGATGAGTGAGAAATTTGCTGCTGTCATTAACTGCACCTTGCTAGACAGGAAGCAACTTTTTAAAAATAGCAATTCAGTATGTTGAAGAAAGAAAGTAAGACAGAACAATAACAGTCACCTTTCCTCCCATCTGAATTTACTGAGCCAAGAGCATGAGCACATTTTCTGCTGCTCAAAAGTAATGGCTGTCTCCTTAATAACATCTAGAGCATGTGGGGTGATTGACCTGCGCTTGACTGGGGCTTCTACTTGCTGATTCTGAATAACAGATGCATAAGGGGTTCAAATTAGTCTTCCACAATGTTTGGATTTTGTGAAGTGTTTGAAATGCTTGTCTTACTGTTAAGGAAACAACTCACAGAACTAAATGTAACCAGATGGGCCATGTGAAACACCATATTTGAAGGATTAGTTTAATTATGATTTAGGATCCTAAAAATTAGAATGTATTCATCCAGCCATCACCTACCTATTCAAAAAGTCCTTCATTCCTTCCTTTATTCATTCACTAGTCTTAATGTCCACTAAATAGTGTGGCATTTATGTCATGCTAGGTGCTGGGGATATACAATTACTCTGGCTGACATAGACCAATCAGACTCACCCCATACCCTAAAGTTCATCCCTCACTAAGTCAACCTTCACTGTAGCATTTATTTGCTTAACTGTTTATTGTCTCTCTCCCCTTCTCCATTAAAATTTCCATCCTAGTCCCTATCGCCCTGCCCTGTCAGCCCTTGATAGGTAAAGGTAACCATGGTGGTTTTTAAACATGCCCACAAATTCTGTAATACTCTTCTCTTCAAAAGTTGGAGTCTAATTCCCCTTCTGTTAAAAATGGTCTAGAGTTAGTGACTTCCTTCTAGCAAATAAAATATAGCAGAAGTGAGAGTCTGTGACTTCCCCAAGATGAGGTTTTAAAATGCTTGTGGCCTCCTCCTGGTTCTCTCTCTTAGAGCTCCTGCTCTGGGGAAGCCAGATACCATGTTTTGAGGACAATCAAGCAGCTTCATGGAGAGGCCTACAAAAATGAAGAATTGAAGCACCCCAGCAAGTGAAGAACTGAAGCCTCTTGCTAAAAGCCGGAAAGGAATTGAGGCCTCCTGCAAATAATCATGTGAGTGTCATTTTGAAAGTGGATCTTCAAGCCTCAGTCAAGCAATTTCATTGCAGATACTGAGTCAGAACCACTGACTAGCACATTCTTGAGTTTCTGGCCCCGAGAAACTATGAGATAATAATAGTTTTCTGTTTTGAATTGTTAAGTTTTAAAATAATTTGTTATGCAGTAATAAAAAACTAATATGACAATGGTCTAACAACCATAGCTTTGATGAATATAGTGGATTGGCACTCAGGATCCTTTCTATCCTTCTTTTAGACTGCCCACCATACCACAGAGACTAGAATGCTGAAAAACACACTATTACTACATTTTAGAAACTCCCTTGCAGCTAGGATTCAAAGAGTGTTTAGATTCTACCAATCAGAATGCCCTCCTGTGAGATATGGAAGGGGCAGGCAAGGAAAGTCTTATTTCTGTTGCCTCCATTAGTAGGCACATTTGTAGAGGGTTGTTTTGTGGCAGTTCTGACAGAGGCCCCAGCATCCTAGTTTTCTGATTACCAAGAATCAGGATTCAGAGTATTCATTTTTCTGTTATGGATTGTAATGGGCCTGATAGGGCTCTGGAGCTGACAGAAGTAGGGGCAAAGGATTTAAGATTATGAAAGGTTACTGATGTTGGATGCTTCCTGCTTGTGGCTATGCGGCCATGATTTTGAAACCAGCAGCTAAAGTGGAAACTTCTGAATTCAATAAGTAACTTCTTATCATACAAAAATTAGTGGTTCTTTTGGTGACATGGCTCCAGAGTGGAAATTTTGGAGATACTCTTGCAAATTCAATCCAGAGCCTATTTCCTCAGCCCTCTTAAATTTAGTAAACCTGTACTACACTTTAATAAGCTCCCTTCTAATTATACTAGCTAGACTAGATTCTGTTCTCTACAACAGAAACTGGATCAATATACCAGATCAATTTCAAGATTCATCCAAATATGTCTACCTGATTTAAAAAGTAAATAAAATGATGGACTCAGTCCTCAAGAACCATGGAATGTAACAGAAGTAGACATGTAAGAAATGTGCAAAAATAGTTGTGGATGTTGTTTATTCATATTCATGGATGTTTAGTAAGTCTCCTGTGTGTTAGACTATTGTAGGTTTGGGGAATACACCAGCTAAAAAGTAAACAAGCAAACAAAAAGACACTGTTCTTCTAAAGTTTACATTTTAATTGAGAGAGGGAGAGAGAGACAATAAACAGACAAGCAAATAAATGCCTCAATAAGTTTAGACATTGAGAAGAGCTATAAGTTATCAGGAAATGATTCAGGGGCCACTTTAGAATGAATAATCAGAGAAGGCTTTTCTGAGGAGGTGACATTTAAGCTGAGACCCAAATAATATGATGGGACCAACCACAGGAAGATCTGGAGAAAGAGTGTTTCAGATAGGGTAAAGAATGAGTTTAAAGGCCCAAGGTAGAAACAAGTGTATCTTATTTTAGTAATATAAAGAAGGCAAACATAACCTAAGTATAGTAAGTTAGGGGGAGAATGATGTAAGATGAAGATGGAGAGGTGAGCGGGGGTGAATCACACAAACTTTTGTAGAACATAGCAAAGAGTTTTTATTTTATTCAAAGTTTAATGAAAAATCACTGAAGTATTTTAAGTAAGGGTGGGAAAGGGCCTGATTTAGGTTTTACAAAGATCTCTGGCTGCTGCGTGGGCAACTAGATTGTAGAGAGGCAAGAGAAAAGGCAGGAAACTCTATGGTCATTTGGGCAAGCAATGGTAGGGTCTTGAATTAAATAGGAATAGGGATGATCATACATAGATGGATTCAAGAAACATTTTGGAAGGAGAGCTAATGGCAGGGGATAGTGGATATGGAGACAGTGGTGAATCGAAGATTACTGTGAGACATTTGATGAAGCAACTCAATGGATAGTAGTGTAATGTCTCACCTGATCCTCCACACTGCCTTTTATGTGTATTGTGACAGTATAAAAAGATGGAAGAAGCTTGGATCCTTAAGTTACTTCTTGAAGGAGAGCTACTCAACTAGCATTGGACTGAGACATGATCAAGAAATAAAACTTTATTGTAACAAGTCTTTGATATTTCAAGGCTTATTTGTTACTGTCAAGCCTAGCTAACCTTGACAGTTGGCTGTGAGAGTCTGGAGCTAAGAGAGGTCTTGTCTGGAAAAACAAAATGGGGAAGTCATTGGCAAATATGTGGAATTTAAAATTTGGGCCTGAAATAAGATCACATAGACAGAAAGGAGCATAACAGACAAAGTATAGAGAGGGCATGAAGAAGGGAGACATTACTCCTAGGTATAGTGGTAAGATGCTGGGAAATCAGTCAAAAAAGACTTCATAATGAAATAAAAACCTATATAAAGTATGAAGAGCTGTGCAAATACTCATCATAATTATTTAAAACAATCTCAAAATGAACCAGATATGTGAATGAGACATATGCAATAGAAAAATAATTATTTCCCTGAAATGTCCTTTCATCCTTTTCTAACTCTGAACCACCTCCTCTTGACTTTGACTTTGCCCTGCAGTGGCTGTATCTGATGGCTATCCTGTGCCAAATCAAAGGAGTCCTATGAATACCTACTCTTCCAGACATGAACTAGAACTTTCCCTACTCCTATCACCTTCATAACATACTTTCTGTACATACCAAACACTCAGAGACCTCCATTGCTACTACTAAGGGAGGAGACCACCCCTCATATTGTCTTATGCCCAATTTCTGCCTCCAAAGAAAGAAAAAGTAAAAACTAAAAGGCAGAAATGAAATCCACAAGCAGACAGCCTGGCGCCACACCCTGGGCCTGGTAGTTAAAGATTGACCCCTGACCTAATCGGTTATGTTATCTATAGATTACAGACATTGATAGAAAAGCATTGTGAAAAAAAATAAAATAAATAAAAATAAAGATTGACCCCTGACCTAATCGGTTATCTATAGATTACAGACATTGATAGAAAAGCACTGTGAAGATATCCTGTTTTGTTCCGATCTACTTACTGGTGCATGCAGCCCCCAGTCACGTACCCCCTGCTTGCTCAATCGATCACGACCCTCTCACGTGCACCCCCTTAGAGTTGTGAGCCCTTAAAAGGGACAGGAATTGCTCACTCGGGGAGCTCGGCCCTTGAGACAGGAGTCTTGCCGATGCCCCCGGCCGAATAAGCCCCTTCCTTCTTTAACTCGGTGTCTGAGGAGTTTTGTCTGCGGCTTGTCCTGCTACACTACTTAGATAGACATGTAATTCATTAAATATTTGCTGAGTTCTTGCCAAGGACCAAGTAAGGTGCAGAACTCCACATGTAAAGGTGAATGAGATAGATTTCCTAGTTTCAGAGCTCCCATGTGGAGAAAGAGACAGGCTTGAAAACAAATCACTTCTACCCACCATGGTGAGTAAAGAGTGCTGTTGGGGCACAGCTGTCATTGGGGGTATAGAGAGGCTTTCCTGTTTTTTTTAAAAAAAGTATAATTTTGTTGGTAAGAATTAGTAGGAATAGCCAAGCCAAGAAGTAGGGAGAGAATATTTTTAAAAAGGAAAAAACAGCAAGGAAACTGAGGTAAGGCATTTGTTGAGCTACATGCATGTATATAATGAGGCGTACAGTTAAAGCAAATGTAGAGGAAACAAGGCCAGTGTGCAGGGGTCAAGTCACATAAAGCTTGGTGATGCATGTTAAGAGGCTGGGACTTTGTCTTATAGGAAAGATAAGAGAGACACTTTAAAGGAATTTAAGAGGGGAATGGCATGATTGAATTCTTATTAAATTGTTCACTCTAGTGGCTGCATGACAATGGACCAAGCACAAGTAAGGAACATCAGTTTGGAGATGGTGCAAGAATTCAGAAAGAGTTGATGAGAGCCTAAGCCAGGGCAGTCACAATAGGAACACAGAATTGGACAGATTAGAGAGGTGGAAAAGAGAAAGTCAACACAACTTGGTTTTTATGGATGTGGAAGGATTCTAGAAGGACTCTATGCTTCCAGCTCAGGAATCTGGGTAGATGAAGCAATTCACTGTGATAGGTAACTCAGGGAAGCAAGGGTGCCTGAGTGGAATGGGGAAGCTGAGAAGGAGATGGCAATGATGAGTTCAGTTTTTGCATTTTGCCTTGAGAGGACTGTGGAAATCCCTGGTGGATTTCCCAGTCAGCCATGAGATTCTGAGCCTAAAGTTCAGTTCAGGTGACAACTCAGGGATAAAGAGGTAGATTCAGAAGTCATTCTCACTGGGCAGGAAGTCTAGCCACTCACTTGGTTTTAACAAGTTAAAACCAAGTGAATGGCTAGACTTCCTGCCCAGTGAGAATGCCAGCAAAAGTAGAGCACAAACTAAGAACAGAGCACTAAGGAGCATAGTGCTTAAGAAATGGAGAGGAAGAGAGGCCTGTGAAATTGCTTAAAAGAATCCTACTGAGGCAGGAAAGGCAGCAGGAGAGAGTGGTGCCAAGAAGGCAGGAAATCTCAAGAAGGAAATCAAGGCAACAGCAAGAGGTGGACTGAAACATGTCCACCAGACATGGTGTTCGTTTCCATTGCCCAGGCAGGTTCCATGGAGAAGTGGGGATGATGCAGATCTTAGTGGGTAGGAAAGTGAATGGAAGTTGAGAAAGTAGCAGCTACTCTTGAAGATACTTAGCTATGAAGGGAAGAGGAGAAGACAACATGTACGTTTAATCAAGAATATATTTTTTCATTGAGGGCTTTTATTGATGTGATAAAATGCTTGTGCCACAGTGCTAAGTGAAAAACAGCAGGTTACAGAGCTGGACATATAACTTGATGACAAAATGTTGTAAATTTTAAAAACATATATCTAGAAAAAAGACTAGAAGGAAATGCATCCAAATGTTGTAGTGTATTAATGTGGCTATATCAGATAGAGTTATGGGTTGTTTTTATTTACTTATTTTGCCATTTCTGAATTTCCCATGTTTCTCTCAACTTTTTAATGGAAAATTTAAACAAAGAAAAGTTAAAACATAGTATAATGAATACCCATATATCCTTCATTTAGAATCTATATTTATTAGTTAACATACTACATGTTTTTGTTTTCACTCTCTCTCCTGCCCTATCTCTCTCCATCCAATTATTCACCTATTTATCAATCATCTATCTATTCATCCATTTACTATACTCTTTTTAAAGAGCAGTCTATATACAATGTTTAAACATATATAAATATACACTTTCTGCTGAATCATTTTTAAATGGCAGATATCATGCCACTTTGCTTTTTAGTGTTTCTAAGAAAAAGGACATCCTGAGGCAGATAATTTTAAAAATCATATTAATTATACTATTTGCCTATGTGTGCACACAATCACTAGGAGTGTGTATATGTGTGTGTGACAGAGAGAGACAGAAAGAGAGAGAGAGAGAAATGTCCTGAGTTTTGACCCATGAGTCAAGAAATGATTTCAAATAAAACCTCAAGAGCCAAAATTTGCATGTGTTGTTCTCTGCTGATAATGCAGAATCAATGTTCCATTTAAGCATATTTATATTTATAGGCTACAGATAAACATGCCTGTCTATTACAGGAATACTACCTTTCCTTCCAACCCCACCTCAGGTCCCACGACCTTCACAAAGCCTCTTCTGCCCTAGCGCCTTCTACCAAGTGAAAGCTTTGCTTCTTCTAAAATCTAAAAGCACATATGCTCACCCTCCTCTTGTGGCTCCCATTTCACCTGCCATGAACTGCTATTTCTCCACATGCTTAGTCTTTTCTCAGAGCCCCTTGTATATCTTAATCTACTTGAGAAAAATGTCTGTGTCTTGATCACAGAGTCATGGCCATGGCAGGTCTGAATTTGAATTGGGCTCTTCCACTTTTTGACTGAATGTTATTTAACCTCTAAGTCTCAGTCTCTCATTCAAAACTTCCTCAGAAGGTTGTTGTGGAGTAAAGAAAATAATGTATTAAAGGTTGATTCTTATTAAATGCTTAATAAATGGTACGTATTTTTATAGCTATTGTCAGTCTCTTTTCATAGAAATGTGCTTAAGTAAAACTGATACTGGCCTAATGTCTCACATAATTTTTCCCCACATCTATGATAGATATTTTAATCCAAGAAGAAAAAATATGAGACATAATAGATTCCAGTGAGAAGATGATTCACACTTTTGAGAGCCTTTTTATTTTCCCTAAAGTAACTGCATCATGGTAACTACTACTTATGTTGGTAAGATCAATATTGCTACCAGTCCTTCAACCCTTTACCAGTTTGATAGGTTCCTGGAAAGTCCTTGAAATCAAGAAGAATCAGGGTGGATATAAAGCTTCCAGGGTCACTGCTGCTGTAAGTAGATGCAGAGGTGAGAACCTCTGACCATGAAAAACAGTTCAAAACCAATAGTTCCAAACTATTAAGTGAACTGTTAAATAGTCCCAAACTATTAACCTCTTAAACACAGAAGACCAGGGAGCTACCATCCTACTGTCCCTGGTTCCATGTCTAGCATCCAAACTGCATATTAAAATATCAAATGACATGAGGGCAATGATTAGCGTTTGAATAAAAGAAGGAAGGATTCCTTTATTTAACACCAGTTTGCATAACTCCTGTTCACGGACATTGTGCTAGAGAGTGTGGTGTCTGTTGCCTGTCCTCCAGTGTGGAGGACAGATAACATGTAGGTTTATTCCAAAATATATTTTTTTCTAGCATAATTATATGCATGTGCGCACACACACACAAAGATATGTCAGCACCCACAGCATCTGAAATCAAAATCAAAATCAATAATGAGGCATCATCGTGCAGGGGTAAGTGCCCTGATCAGAAGACTCAAACTTGAGAACTGATTGTATCTTTTTCCTGTTGAGCAACTTGGACAACTTATGACCCCTCTGGACCTCCTGTTTTCTCCTACAACTGAGATAATAACACTTCCCCTGTCCACTGTATAGAGCTGTTTGAGGGTTAATGTACTCTAAAGCTATTAAATGCTAGGCAAACATAGCTGCTGTTATCTACCTGGCTAACTAACCAGCCCACTTCCTTCCAATAGAGCAGAACACAGTGAAAAGGTGAGAAAGCATACAACGCAAGGGTGCAACATGAGGGGCATGGAAAGAAAAACAGTGTTGGTATAGTATGTATGTGTATAAGCTCAAGCTACACAGAGGATGTTGCATTCTGAGAAAATAACACTTTTGCAGCTGTCTGAATATTCACCTATACCAGGACTCCCACTGTATTCCCATCAGGAATGACTTCTGGGCTGATCGAAGGACTGCAATGCCTTCAGTTGTCAGAGTAAGTGGTTTCATTACTGGGTAACAAGTCATTCACCCAAGATTAAGTGGTTGTCAGTCAAGTCGAAGCCTATACGGAACCATCAACACCAAGATGTGCAATATATCTTAGCACATCCTCATCCCATGATAGTTTCCTTTCTATTGCTGCTAGTAGCAAGCCATTCTTTTACTTCATGTCACCTACCTTTCAGGGAATTCACTCTGAGAATAATGGCATCCCAGATATGAGAAAGCATAGAAATAAAGAAATCTTTAAAAGTTTCTACTATGTGGTATCCTTCTGAACAACATTCTTGGATTTGCTTTCAAGCAGCAAACATTCTTAGAACTATATTTGCTTTGCTTCAGAGAAGAGCGAGTTATAAAAATGTTCATCATATGCCTGCATATGTCTCACAAAAATGAACATTGCTTCTTGAAGTTAGCAGCCAGCTGTGTCTTATTCACTATCTATCCCTGACACAGGGTAGGCACCCAAATGTGAATTTATTGAGTTGAACTAAATTGAGGCAACACTGATTTTCAGGTCAAATCCTATTACTTGTATAAATTGGTACTGTATTTATTTTCATACTTTCTCCCTCCCCTCTTTTGGTCCTAGCATTCACTAATTACCCAATACATTTTTAAAACTTCTTTAAAAATTGAATAACATCTAAAATAACGGTTATTCTTTTCAGTGTACAGATGTATGCATTTTGACGAATGCTACAATCATGCAACCACCAGTGCAATCAAGGTAGAGTTCTACCACCTCAAAAAATTCCCCTGTGCTTCCTCATAGTCAATGCTTCCCTCCAGCTCTGGTCCTTAGCAATCCCTGAGCTGTGTGAATTTCGGTTTCCATCTCACCTCAGGAAATACCTGAGTGGGATTGCTGGGTCATGTGATAAATATATGTTTAACAAACTAACTTTTTAACTTTGTTTCTTTATAAGAAACTGCCACACTTTTCCAGAGTGGCTGTGCCATTGTCTTTTTCCACCAGCAAAGAGTCTCAGTTGCTTCAAGTCCTTGTCAGCACATGGCGTTGTCAGTTATTGTTTGTTGTCAGTCATTCTAATAGGCATGCAGTCACCCAGGAAATCTTTATATAAGGATTGTTGAGCAGGGTGAGGAAAGAAGAGGGCACACCCAGTTTCTTATATTGTGTGGGAATTTTGTGATAATCAAACCAAGGAAGGCAATTCAAAAAGATCCCCATTGATATGGATTATTAAACAATAATATTGCTCAACTATTAATTCTTTGGCCTGGAAAAAGAAACTTGGATGTGGATTTTCTAGCCCAAAGCCTCCCCACTGCTTTCTATTTAATGATAAAAGTGTTACTAGCAGGATCTTTTGGGATCAACATCCACTTTCTAGCATGTAACAATCAAATACAGCTTTACTGAACTACCTAGTAGTGTTTCCAGGAAATCTTCAAAGATGAAATTAGCTTTTTATATTCTCCTGGCCACACAGTTGAATCTCATATATTTTATCACCACTTTGTACAGTATTGTGGATGCTGTAAGAGCTTATTCAATTGAAATAAAGTTTGCCTTTTCTCTAGAACTTCCCTGGTCAATATGGTACCCTCCCCCAGCTACATGTGCTACTGAACACTTGAAATGCAGCTAGTGCCACATTAAAAATTTTTTAACTGGAGTATATGAAAGAAATAAAGTATCTCATTAATTTTCGCATTGAGTACATGTTGAAATCATAGCATTTTTTATATGTTGTGTCAAATAAAATATATTACTAAAATCAATTTTACCTGTTTAATTTTTTAATGTAGCTACTAGGAAATTTAAAATTATATGTGTGGCTTGCATTCTATTTCTACTAAAAACACTGTCCTAGAAAACAGTGCTATTACTGAAGAGTTAAATTTTACTTTCACCTCCAAGACCCACAAACCATTTCAAAATCTAGTGTTGCTTTTAAATATGTATCACTGTTAAGTGTAGTAAGATATGTATTTAATAATTAAATATTGGGTTTTAAAAACCTGTTCATTCTATATCAGTATTCTAAAATGGGTATATCAATTTCTAAGGGAAAAGATATTTTAAAAAATAAAATAGACAACAGTAAAATAATAACAAACTAAAACTAGAAAAATTAAAAACAACTTTAGCTTTTTAAAAAGGTACTGTAAACAAGTGAAAAAGCAAACCAGAGACTGGGAGAAGATATTTGTAAAACATGTATCTTATTAAAGACTTTTATGCATAATATATAAAGAACTTCTACAACTGAATATTAAGAAAACAAGCAGTTTGGTTAAACATGGACAAAAGATTTGAAAAGAAACTTCACCAGAGAGCTTATATTAAAGGCAAATAAGCACATGAAAAGATGTTCAACAGCATCATTCGTTAGGGAAATACATACACCAACTAAAATTGCTAAAATTAAGAAGACTGACCAATTTCAAGTGTCAACAAAGATGTGGAACAACTGGAACTCCCATACATTGATGGTAGGAATGTAAAATGGTACAGCCATAATAGAAAACAGCTTGTCAGTTTCTGATACACTAAATACTTACCATGCAACTTAGTAGTTCCAGCTCTAAACATTTATCTAGTGCATACAAGGACTTGTAAGGTAAATAGAAGCTCTATTCATAGTAGCCCCAAACTGGAACCAAACCAAATTTCCATCAGTGTTGATCAATAAGCATATTGTAGAGTATCTATATGAAATACTAATTAGTAATAAAAAGAAACAAACTATTGATATACGAAACAACCTGAATGAATCTCAAGAGCATTAAGCAAGCAAAATTCCAACAAAGGGAAAACTCTGATGACTCAAGCAGACCAGTGGTTGCTAGGGTCCAGGAATGGGAAAGGGAATTGACCACGAAAAGGGATGAGGGGAACTTACTGGAGTGATAGAAAATGTTCTGTTTGTTTTGTTTTGTTTTGTTTGAGACAGGGTCTTGCTCTGTTGCCCAGGCTGGAGTGAAGTTTTATAATCACAGCTCACTGCAGCCTTGACTTCCTGGGCTCAAGTGATCCTCCCACTTCAGCTTCCAGAGTAGCTGGGACTACAAGCATGCGCCACCACACCTGACTAATTTCTTTTGCTTTTGTTGAGATGGGATTTCGCCATGTTGCCAGGCTAGTCTTGAATGCCTGGGCTCAAGTGATCCACCTGCTTCAGCCTCCTGAAGTGCTGGGATTATGGGCATGAGTCACTGTGCCTGGCCTGCTTTCTATCTTAATTGTGGTGGTGGTTACATGACTGTATACATTTGTTAAAACTCATAGAATCGTACATTAAAATTAGTGAATTTTATTGTATGTAAATTGCTCCTCAATAAAGCTGATAAAATTAAAATCAGCAATGCAAGTATCAATGACAACATAAATAATGGCAATTCTATATTGCTGGTGGAAGAGGGTATAAATTGGGGCAATCGCTTGGCTAACAACTTGCCAATATCTAGTAAAGCTGACAATGTTCACAGCTTATGACTCAGCAATTCTATTTCAAATACGTTGTCTTGAGAGAGTCTCAGACATATTTATGGTGAGATATGTACAAGAATGTATGACATATGCATTATCATTTATCTCAATAACATGGCTAAGAAAAAAAAATACTACAAAATAATGCACACAATAAATCACATTTGTAAATTTTGAGAAACAAAATTATGAATAAATTTCTGTGTAATATATGTGTACAAATATGGATAAATGTGGATAAGAAATATTATCCCCAACTTTAGGATAAAGATCAGCCTTTCTAAGAAAGTTGCTATCTTCTTGATTTCGTTAGAGATTTTAAACAATTTTTGATTGATCAAATATTTGAAGCAAAAAGAATGAAGTTAAAGATAAATAAAATTATATTTTAGATATATTCTTAATGATCCACTTCTCTAAAAATGATTTGAAATATTTATGACAAAATTTTACTGTTATTTTTAGTGATGGAAAGATGAATATTTGTATTTATCTCTGTGCTCCTGTGTACATTAATTTTTTAAGTGGAGAATAATGTTTTTAATCCACCCATTTGCACCTTGAGAGAATAATTTTCAAAGCTATTTTTAATCATATAATATAGGTTAAAAACTCTAACCAAAAGGAAATGTCACATTCAAGGGCAGAGAAATATTTGAGCAATCAGAAAATTGCTTAAAATCTTTAGAGAAATCTGGAAGATGGCAACCATAAAACAAGCATAGGAGCGTATGAAACAAGAACAAGAGAATACAAAACTAGAACTGGCCAATATTAAAAAACAAGAATTATAAGTTTTAAAAATGAAAAAGGATAGTCACTGCAATTTTTTAAAAATTCTCAGAGGAGTTGATTGAACATAAATGTTATGAGATAACATTTTAATGAGTTAAAAGCTACAACTGAGAAACTCTCAGATCATGGAGTAAAGAAATATAAATGGAGGAAAATTATGAAAGAATTAAGATACATATAGGATTTAATGAGAAGTTTCCAGATATGTCTAATAGAACTTTCAGAAGGAATAACAGCTAAGGATTTTTTTAGAATTAGAGAAAAATGTAAGTCTTCAGATGGAAAAAGACATGCAACAAGAACAAAAAGATAAAATGTAATATGCTTTCATACATTCTGTAGTAAAATTGAAGAATATCAAGAAAAAAGAGATTTTCTTTTCTTGCCTTTCTGGAGAAGGAAAGAAAAGATTATCCATAAGGAATGACAATCAGTTGGCAGCAAACTTCGCTGCAGCAGCGAGGGAGTCAAAAGACAGTAGAGAATATCTTCAAAGTATGAAGGGAAAATCTAGAATTCTCTACTCTAATTAATTAGAAAGGGTGGAAATAATGACATTTGTAGGTGCATAAGAGAATTAATATCCACAGATATCTTTGGCAAGAAGAGAAATTATTCTGAAAGGGTAACGTAAAACTATCCTGCGATGTAGGAGTGGAATAAAAGAAACAACAGTCAGCAAGTAAATTGGTAAAGTTTGTTTATAAATCAACACGTTTCTACTAAAAATAATAATAGAAAATATACCCTCCAAAATACAGAAAACACTTTGAAGATATATAAAAACCATCTGAGTTCCAAGGACAACCTATTTCTGAACATTGTATCAGTGTCAACAGCTTAGAAAATAAACTATAAAAATGATTGGTACAATGAAAAGAATCTAGCATTAAGGAATGCTTAAAGACCAAGTGTGGTATTATACACATTTTTGACAATTTAAGCTCTGTGCGATATTCAAGGTCTGCTCACGGTCTACTCCTAAAGATGGCATGGCCAAAGCTGAAGAGGGTGTTTATGATAGGCAATCTAGTAATAAAAAGGTCTGGAAAGTAAGATTGCCCCAGGCCATCTAAGTCTTAGATCTATTTTACTTACAGTGAGCAATCTCCTGAAATAATATTTCCAGTCATTTGATTTCCAGTCATTGGGATTTGATCTGTTATATATTGTCTTACGCAGTGACTTAGGAAAGTAACTCTCAAAACTTCTGGTGAAACAGTACAGAATGAGGATATAAATGGAGTTTCTTATAAATCCTTCAGATATTGAAGGCATAGTGAATAGAGATGAGTTTCATTGTATGCTCTATCATTCATCATAAAACCAAAAAATCAACATCTCCCCCACCCCCACCCCCCCGCCCGCCTTTGGCTGCTTCCTGCCTACTAGGAACCTTTAAGCTCTTTCTGTGTCACCTCTGGGTAATTAGCATCACTCAGAAAATATCTGAGCAGGAGCCATAGTAGAGAGGGCATGTGCTGTCACTCAGGAAAAGTTGCAATTAGGATCTGCAGGCAAATGCAGGATTCTTATGAATTTTATTTCAAACCAAGATAAAGCCACATTATCACAAAGAGAAATGGTAATGAGTAATTTGATGCCAACTATATATATATGTTATATATCATATATGGTGCTGTTATACAGTTGCAATTATAGTTATAAAATTGATAAACACAGTCAAAGAAAATTTGGAAGGAAAAAAAAAATTCCATCATCTTAGCATGACTTTTATTGCTTTAGTTTCTTTCCTTCTGATACTTTTTCTATGTATACTTTTTCATGGTTGTAAGTCACAACATTTATACATTTTTTATTCAGATTTAAATCAGAAATGCTTTTCCATGTTGCTAACTTTCGCAGCTATCATTTTTAATGACTATTCCATTATGGGGATATCCCATGATTTATTAAGCCAATCACCTACTTACGGACATTTTAAGCTTTATAATATTTTGACCATTATAAAAATCAATTCTGTGAACATCAAGCTTATAGCTGCTTTCCGTATCTATTTTCTTCAGATAGATTCCCCAAAGCAGAATTACTAGATCAACAGGCATGAAGGTGTTTATGATTCTTAATATATATATTGCTACAATATTTTCCCCAAATGTGACAATTTGCAGTGACACCATGGAAGTGTTATGATTCAGTCAGCCATCACACATCATGAGAATCTAAATTTTAAAGCAGCATCTCTCAAAATGTTGTCCTTGGACCAGAAGTATCAACATCACCTGGGAACTTGTTAGAAGTGCAAGGTCTCTGGTCAATCACACATCTACTAAATCAGACCCTCTGGGGTTGGGGCCCAGAAATTTCTGTTGAGCAAACCCTCCAGGAGATTCTCATTCACACCCAAGTCTGAGAATCACTGGTCTAAAAGCAATGGCTTTCAACTTTAACTGTACTTAAGAATCACCTGTGGAGCTTTTAAAACCTACTGAAGCCCGAGAAATAGTCTCAGAAGTGCTGATTTAATTGTCTAGAGTGCAACAAAGGTATCAGTATTTTTTTAAAGGTCTCCTCTGGTGATTCTAATGTGCAGCAGGCCTGAGAACCACTAGTCTGAAGCAGGGCTGATTGACGCATGATTCTTGAATCTGCAGCATCAGCATTACCTGGGAGCCTGTTAGAAGTACAAATTCTCAGGCCCTACCCCAGAATCTTTAGGGTGGGTTCCAGGAACCTGTGTTTAACAAGCTGATATCTGGCTAATCTCTGAGAAGCACTCATGGGCTCTTTGGATAAGGACAGTGTCTCTGACGCACAAATGCCTATATACCCTGCCATCTATAATGTCTAAATATGTATACCTGCATTCTATACTCCTACATTCATGTACGTAAACAAATGGAAAAGTACATCGATAACACTGATGTGGACAGATAAATATAGATTTAGATAGAGAGAGATGTTGGCTAATTTCATGGGGGAGTGCTGTTTAATAGTACCTCGTTGCTGGTTTTGTTTTTTTTTTTAATAACTAGTGCAACTAAACACTGGCCATATTTGTTTACCTACTGGTTTCTGAGAATAACTTTAAAGATGGGGTTTGGATGTTTTAGTCCATGCAATTTTTAAAGAATTGGCCGATTACTAAATTACTAGCTTATAAAGAGAAAAGGAGAAAATTTTCCACAAGTACATGAAGAAACTGGAGAAGTTATTTAAATACAATCATGCCTAGGAGAATGACTAAAGAAAATATTGCTCCTTAATTAGCTGGGAATGGAAAGCTAATATTAGATGAAACTAAAATGACAGATGACTTCACTGTTCTTTTTTAACTTGGGCTATGAGAAAGGAATCCACAGCTGAGGCTTTAGGGCTGTTTGCCACCATGCATGGGATGTCTGAGGAGCTGAAGTTTCCCACTTTTGTTGCCCGTGGCAAAGACTGGCCATAGCACATTACCCCAGCTAAGGTAATCTTTGACTCTGACCATCACAAAGCCAAGCGAAAACAAGAAAAAAAAAAAAAGGGTGAGGAGCTGGAAATGGCTGAAAGAACCATAGGCTGAGTCAGGAGGAATGTGTGGCTTCTCATCTTCTAAAGATCGTAAAGTTACAAAAGTTTAGTTTGGTATAAAAAATGTTCATTAAGGGCCTGTTGGCTGCAGTCTCCTTTCAAAATAGCAAACCGGCCAAAACTGAATGTTAGTGTCCATCCTACTTTTTAGAACTGCCCCAATTAGACAAATCTTCAAAAATTATTTACATAAATTGTTATTCTAGCTGGAGGAGAAGCAGTTGGGGGGTGTTGATATTGTTTGACATTTCATGTCTTCTTTTCTTCCCTTCCTCTCTCTCTCCCTTCCTCCTTGCTTTCCAATATGCTTTATAATCTTGAAAAAAAATACTGAAAAACGTTTGTCTATGACACTGAACATCCCCGAAGATTTCTTCCTAACTTGAGTTCCTTGACCTCTCAGTGGAAGCATGGATTGGCTTTAGGAAGTCTCCAAATCCTTTAAAATTATAAATAATGAGTTGTATGCAAGTGTGTTGTGCATCTTTTTCTGAGTGAGATCACAGCTTCTATCAGATGATCAAAGACATCTGTGCAGCAAGGAAGTTTACTAACCACTTACTAAGGGAAAGTAAACTTCCTTCTAGGACTGAGTCACCAGAGTACATACAAAAGGTCAGTTCTAGAAATGGGTGGAAGACAATCTGCTTGCAAGTTCTGAACTGGAGTGATGAGGGGTGGAAGTCTGAAGTTGGATGGGTACAAGTCAGGTCTGGGTTTTCAAACTTCACCCCTATAAACCACCCAGGAACTACAATCAAAGGCAGGTAAAGTCCTCAGGACTCTTCCCACCCTCTTGCAGTGCTGCCTCCACACACACCCAGAATCTGACCTTCAAAATTACCCTCAAGTTCAAGGAGTACAATTGGGTCCAACTGATCTAAGCTGGAGTCAGGAACTCTGAAGGTGGGTGAAGCAACAAGCCCAAAGTTCTTAAATGCCCCTCTTTTTCATTTTTATTCTGGTAACTTGCTACAGCTATGCTGTGATTAGGAACATGGGCTTTGGCAGGGTGCGGTGGCTCATGCCTGTAATCCCAGCACTTTGGGAGGCCGAGGCGGGTGGATTACCTGAGGTCAGTAGTTTGAGACCAGCCTGACCAACATGGTGAAACCACCCCGCCTCTACTAAAAAATACAAAAATTAGCTGGGTGTGGTGGCATGTGCCTGTAATCCCAGCTACTCAGGAGGCTGAGGGAGGAGAACTGCTTGAACTCTGGAAGCAGAGGTTGCAAGTGAGCCGAGATCACACCATTCCACTCCAGCCTGGACAATAAGAGCAAAAACTCCATCAAAAAAAAAAAAAAAAAAAAAAAGAAAGAAAGAAAGAAAAGGGAAAAAAAAAAGAACATAGGCTTTGTAGTCATTTAAACTCACCTTCAACTTTTATTTCCAAGTTATACATTCTTTGGCAAGTTATGGCAAGTTACTTAATCATCTGAGCACTGGTTTCTTCAGTTATAAGAAAGGAATACCAATAGTATCTCCTTTATAGAGTCAAAATGACAATTAAATGAGATAATGTATAAAAAAGAGATCAGAATGGTGCCACAGTGTCCTTCAGAGAGTATGTGCTAAAATAAATAGCAGGTATTTATCATCATCATCATCATCATCATCATCATCATGTCTTCATCGTCATGAGAATGATGGCCTGGCATGATGAGAATTGTTCTCTCTGCTGCCAGGCCAACAGAGAGAACAATTCCCATGGAAGAGTAACTTCAGGTATGTGGGTCCATTGACTCTATGTTAAACTAAGTTTTTGTTCTTTGGGTTTTTTTTTTAACATATGGCTTAAAAGTGTTTTGTTTCAAGAGTAGAAACCAATGAATGTTATGGAATATTTCATGAAGATAAATCAACTATTAGCTATACTAGTACTCATCATCACTGTTAGAAATAAGCTGTTTCATTAACAATGGGGGGTAGACATGCAGAGTCCTTAACTACTAATCTCATGGATGAAATGACATACACAGGAGTCAGTGAAAAAGTCACTTACATGCCTACTCAAATACAGTAGTTGATTTTGTAACATGAGTGTCTAATCAGGTATGACCATTGGTACCATTTATAAGATCACTTAATTGTAGTGGTTATGGTGGAGGAGGAACCACAATTATATTTGACTGAATTTTTAATATAAAAATTTATATTACAGGTATAACTGACAAAATCTTTTAAAACCATTGATCATTAGTAATTTTTCAAGTCACGAGATTTACACAGTATTTTTGCTGCAGGAGGACAGTCTCTGCCTGTTAAGCGTTCCTGTTTTAAAAGATTTTTTTCAAGAAGTTTCTTCAGTCACTAGGGGACTCAAGTTCATCCCCAGCCTAGTCCTTTTCTAGGGCCTCCCCACTGGCCTTCAAGCACTTAGCTCACAGTGAAAGGAGACTGGTAAAGGCCGGATCCCTAGCAGTGAGAACTTCTGCAGATGTACTTTGAAACAGGACTGGTTGTTCTCACATCCAGTCTACTCAACACCATCAGTGCCCTCTCACCACACACTGTGGCCCCCTCTCTGAGGCCACAGATGGTCCTAGAATTGGGGGAAAAAGGCCAGCTCACCTGGGCAAGAATTTTACTGCCAGCATCTACCAATCTTCCTTACCTTCCCTGCCTCTGCGGGCCCATCTAGGTGGTGCAAAACTTCTCTGAAAAGAAGTGACAAAGAATAGTTTGTAAACCTATGGAATTAAGTTTTATCTCTTGTCTTCTCTTCTCTTCCTCCTCTATCATGGCCAGCATTTGATAGTCTTACCTTCACAGCAAAGGCAACCTTAGATATAGACAAAATATATCTATTTTGTAGATACAAATGAGCTACCTGGGACGTAAAATACATAAAGGTAGGGATTATGTCTGTTTTGCTTCCTTCTGTAACACCAGGGCTGGTAACCTGGTAGAAACTCATCCAATATTGACTTACTAATTAATTAATTCAAGAATTCTGCCTGAAAATACTTTCTTCCATCTTCAAAACAATTCATGACGCTTTAAATGTCCACTTAAATATAGCATTATATTCCAGGATTGAGATTCAAATGTTATCTGTAAAGGACAACATTTTAAGCTAAGATGACCCAATGAGAATTTAACTCACTTTATTTTAATGTATTATTAATCAATCATTTAGCAGGGTGCACTAAAAAAGAGATGCAAAACAGAAATTATGAGCTGCAATGTTATGACTAGAGCCCTAAACTGAAAGTAGAAAGTTCTCGGTTCCAATTTCAGCTCCGTGACTTGGATGACCAATTTTCCTTTTCAGAAAATGGAAATCAATTATTCTGCTTTGCTTTATCAATAGTGTTGCTATAGGGAGGCAAATGAGATAAGGACTATGAAAACTCATGTTATAAAAAGCTATAGAAGTACAAGAATTTCACAGTAGCTGAATCCAGTAGATTTTCATGTTCAAATGGCAAGAAATACCTGTGCTGGTATTGATTTCTGGGCAACAGGAATGTTGGGTGAGTCCCCAGCAGAATAAATAAGTAGGGGTCAAAGGCAAACCTTGCCAATTTTTAGTTTGATCAATGGCAGCCTTGTATATGCAAGTCCACCAGTCAGACTAGGAAATACCAGGGTTGCCTCCTACAGAATTTAATTTTATGATATAGGCAGGATTAAGTTTCCAATATCCCTAGTATTTGCAGATGCATTAGACACATGCCCCATAACAGTATCTACCCCAGCTTACCAGCGGCCACTCCCAACAGCCTCTTGGAAGACTTGCTGAGGGAGCACACCTCGAATACTAAAATATTCTTTAATATTTCCTCTAGGAAGAATTCTGAGCCTTTGTCTTGAAATCAGCTACTGGCTGATTAGAGGGATCCTTCAATTTTTCCTTTGCATAAAGTACTCCTGTAACCTGAGGAAACCATCCTCCAGCCTCCACACAGAAGAAAATCTGATAAATATATTTAAATGCTCCCGAATGCACACTGCTGCACTTGGTGCTAGAAAGGGTAATATCCCCAAATTCTTGAGCTAGTTCTTTTATATTAAATCACTTAATTTATTTGGGGGAGTAAAGGAGCTAGTGTTAAAGTTTAATTACAATCCAGTGCCCACAAAGAATCCACTTTTCTGAAGGACCCAAGACTTGTCCCAACATAATTTTAACTCCAAAGACATCAAAGACAGATTATAAGAATTCTCATGTCAATGGATGTCAGGTTGGCAAAGCCATAACTGAGAGTACAGCAGGATTTCTAACTGTTATGTGTTATGCTCCACGGTTAGCTTGACCCAGATCTAAAACTGCATCTTTGAAGATTGTGCCATTGTTGATGAAAGTTACAAAAGAGCAGGAAACAGAAATGGATGATATAATTTTTGTAAATTATATAAGTTTGCTCAAAGTTGGATGAAGAGTTATCTAATTTATCACATGCTGCTGGTATTTAAAAGGAAGGTTTGTTTGGATTTTTTTTTTTAAACAGTGGAAACGGTTGCTTAGCAACTCCTTCCTGCATTGCATGAATCTGTTAGGATTTCCACCTGCTGGAGAAAAACATCAATAAAATTATTTCTTTGAAAATCAGAAAAGTAGGAAAATGAGCCAGCGACTCAAATGCATGATGCACTTGCAAGATGCCAAAGACTTCCAAAGACACATATGTATTTACTTCAAAACAAAAAAACAGATGCTTTGGCCGGGCGCGGTGGCTCATGCCTGAATCCCAGCACTTTGGAAGGCCTAGGTGGGGAGATCACGAGGTCAAGAGATGGAGACCACCCTGGCCAACATGGTGAAACCCTGTCTTTACTAAAAAAAAAAAAAAAAAAAAAATACAAAAATTAGCTGGGCATGGTGGCACATGCCTGTAGTCCCAGCTACTCAGGAGGCTGAGGCAGGAGAATTGCTTGAACCCGGGAGGCAGAGGTTGCAGTGAGCCGAGGTCGAGCCACTGCACTCCAGCCTGGCAACAGAGTGAGAATCTGTCTCAAAAAAAAAAAAAGAAGCTTTAACATTTTATAAAATATACTTTAATAGAATTTAACAATAGCCCCAGCTTCACAAAATGAGGCTTGTTTCAGTATAGTTTCTGTTGTAATTGAAAATACAGACATAGCTTTATGTTCACAGAGAATACACAATTGCCTGTGTAATATAATCTGAGGGATAAACCAAAGTCCTGCCATCCCCCACATCTGTCTTTCTCTGGCACATAGTACCTGAAGTTACCACTCTTGGAGTCAGTCCCTGAGTTGAGCATTTGTATTCAGAAGACCCTGTTAACATGATGTGCCATCTGGGTGGACTAATACCTTAACACCTTGTGATATGTGCTATCATCACAGTATATATTTGGACATGCAAATAGAACATTCAAGACATTTATTTGCCTCATGAGGCAATTGAGCTTAGGGTATGTGTCCCTAGTGATGCTTCAATCATAATTAAGGTAACTAAGTAGTTTGTGTAGCAAAGGCTCCTAACTACAGGCCTACATCCATTTCACCTTTCTTTCATAGCAGTAAAATTCCTACTTTTAGTTTGGTACATTTTTCAGTTTCCCTTGCCTGTATGTAATCATGTGCCTAATTTTGGTGAATAAGATGTAAATACAAGTACTGTATAGCACAAAGCTGCCTAAAATAAAGATGTGGTTGATGGAGCTCTAGCAGCCACATTAGACCATGAAGTCAAGAATGAAATGTGAGAACAGTGGAACTAAGATCTAGAAAATGCTTAATCATGGTATACCTTCCAAAAGAGCTCTAGAGAAAAATAAGACTTTATGATATTTAATGCACTGTTATTTTGGGCTTTCTGTCACACGCAGCTGAACCTCTTTTTTGGGGGGGAGGGGATGGAGTCTCTCTCTGTCACCCAGGCTGGAGTGCAATGGCGTGATCTCGGCTCACCACAGCCTCTGCCTCCCAGGTTCAAGCGATTCTCCTGCCTCAGCCTCCCAAGTAGCTGGGATTACAGGCATGTGCCACCATGCTCAGCTAATTTTTGTATTTTTACTAGAGACAGGGTTTCACCATGTTGACTAGGCTGGTCTCGAACTCCTGACCTCAGGTGATCCGCCCACCTTGGCCTTACAAAGTGCTGGGATTATAGGTGTTAGCCACCGCGCCTGGAGAGCTGAACCTAATTCTAATTATAGTAGGCTTACACAATAAAGCAAAGCTTGACTGAGAGTTTAGTAAGCATTTTTAAAATACTTTTAAAGACAGTAAGACAAAGCAATAAACCTGAGATTCAGTAGCAAAGAAAATATGGCCACTCCCTACTTTGTGAACATCTGATTTGTACATACCTAGTACTGTAAAAGGCAGGTCAGTGGGGAAGCAGGAAGTATAACCTGAGAGTTTCTTATTGTAGCAAAAAGGCCAGGAGTGATCATAGCTCTGGCAGAGAACCCAAGGACAACCTTTTGACATGACTCATTTACTTTTGGGTTTTATGATCCCTTAGAAGTTTTATAAAGTAAGTTTAAAGGGGTTACCACTTGGGTGAATTTAACTTGCCAAGCTATTAACAAATATAGCACAATTATACTTTGAATTCATTTCTTGATTTTTTTTCTAAACTACTTTGCATATTTAACCTAAAGATTAAAGATTCCCAGATTTGCACTCAGATGGATTTCTAAGCTTTTGTAAGTTAAGGCAGTTAATCACCATGTAATTATGGTGAAAGAGAATGCTCTCTGCCTGGTACACATATGCAGAGAATGAGGCCTGATGTGCTCATACCTCAAGCGTAGTGTATGCAGTGTTCAGGTGTGGGCTTTGAAGCCAGACTTCCCAACCTCCAGTATGGTTCTGCTACTAGTGTGTGACCTTGGGCAGATAATAAACACTCTTTGCCTCAGTTACTTCCTGTAAAAGGGGAGAGATAATCACATCCTACTTTCTAGGATTGTTACAAGGATCAAGTGAGATAATACATGAAAAATGAGGCTGGGCATGGTGGCTCAAGTCTGTAATCCCAGCACTTTGGGAGGCCTAGGTGGGAGGCTTACCTGAGCTCAGAAGTTCAAGACCAGCCTGGCCAACATGGTGAAACCCCATCTCTACTAAAAATACAAAAATTAGGGCATCCCTGTCTTGTGCCAGTTTTCAAAGGGAATGCTTCCAGTTTTTGCCCATTCAGTATGATACTGGCTGTGGGTTTGTCATAGATAGCTCTTATTATTTTGAGATACGTCCCATCAATACCTAATTTATTGAGAGTTTTTAGCATGAAGGGTTGTTGAATTTTGTCAAAGGCCTTTTCTGCATCTATTGAGATAGTCATGTGGTTTTTGTCTTTGGTTCTGTTTATATGCTGGATTACATTCATTGATTTGTGTATATTGAACCAGGCTTGCATCCCAGGGCTGAAGCCCACTTGATCATGGTGGATAAGCTTTTTGATGTGCTGCTGGATTCGGTTTGCCACTATTTTATTGAGGATTTTTGCATCAATGTTCATCAAGGATATTGGTCTCAAATTCTCTTTTTTGGTTGTGTCTCTGCCCAGCTTTGGTATCAGAATTATGCTGGCCTCATAAAATGAGTTAGGGAGGATTCCCTCTTTTTCTACTGATCAGAATAGTTTCAGAAGGAATGGTACCAGTTCCTCCTTGTACCTCTGGTAGAATTCGGCTGTGAATCCATCTGGTCCTGGACTCTTTTTAGTTGGTAAGCTACTGATTATTGCCACAATTTCAGAGCCTGTTATTGGTCTATTCAGAGATTCAACTTCTTCCTGGTTTAGTCTTGGGAGGGTGTATTTGTCAAGGAATTTATCCATTTCTTCTAGATTTTCTAGTTTATTTGCATAGAGGTGTTTGTAGTATTCTCTGACGGTAGTTTGTATTTCTGTAGGATCGGTGGTGATATCCCCTTTATCATTTTTTATTGCGTCTATTTGATTCTTCTCTCTTTTCTTCTATATTAGTCTTGCTAGTGGTCTATCAATTTTGTTGATCCTTTCAAAAAACCAGCTCCTGGATTCATTAATTTTTTGAAGGGTTTTTTGTGTCTCTATCTCTCTCACCACTCCTATTCAACATAGTGTTGGAAGTGCTGCCCAGGGCAATTAGGCAGGAGAAGGAAATAAAGGATATTCAATTAGGAAAAGAGGAAGTCAAATTGTCCCTCTTTGCAGATGACATGATTGTATATCTAGAAAACCCCACTGTCTCAGCCCAAAATCTCCTTAAGCTGATAAGCAACTTCAGCAAAGTCTCAGGATACAAAATCAATGTACAAAAATCACAAGCATTCTTATACACCAATAACAGACAAACAGACAGCCAAATCATGGGTGAACTCCCATTCACAATTGCTTCAAAGAGAATAAAATACCTAGGAATCCAGCTTACAAGGGATGTGAAGGACCTCTTCAAGGAGAACTACCAACCACTGCTCAAGGAAATAAAAGAGGATACAAACAAATGGAAGAACATTCCATGCTCATGGGTAGGAAGAATCAATATTGTGAAAATGGCCATACTGCCCAAGGTAATTTACAGATTCAATGCCATCCCCATCAAGGTACCAATGACTTTCTTCACAGAATTGGAAAAAACTTCTTTAAAGTTCATATGGCACCAAAAAAGAGCCCGTGTCGCCAAGTCAATCCTAAGCCAAAAGAACAAAGCTGGAGGCATCACGCTACCTGACTTCGAACTATACTTCAAGGCTACAGTAACCAAAACAGCATGGTACTGGTACCAAAACAGAGATATAGATCAATGGAACAGAACAGAGCCCTCAGAAATAACGCCACATATCTACAGCTATCTGATCTTTGACAAACCTGAGAAAAACAAGCAATGAGGAAAGGATTCCCTATTTAATAAATGGTGCTGGGAAAACTGGCTAGCCATAGGTAGAAAGCTGAAACTGGATCCCTTCCTTACACCTTATACAAAAATTAATTCAAGATGGATTAAAAACTTAAACGTTAGACCTAAAACCATAAAAACCCTAGAAGAAAACCTGGACATTACCATTCTGGACATAGGCATGGGCAAGGACTTCATGTCTAAAACACCAAAAGCAATGGCAACAAAAGCCAAAATTGACAAATGGGATCGAATTAAACTAAAGAGCTTCTGCACAGAAAAAGAAACTACCATCAGAGTGAGCAGGCAACCTACAAATTGGGAGAAAATTTTCACAACCTACTCATCTGACAAAGGGCTAATATCCAGAATCTACAATGAACTCAAACAAATTTACAAGAAAAAAACAAACAACCACATCAAAAAGTGGGCAAAGGACATGAACAGACACTTCTCAAAAGAAGGCATTTATGCAGCCAAAAAACACATGAAAAAGTGCTCCACCATCACTGGCCATCAGAGAAATGCAAATCAAAACCACAATGACATACCATCTCACACCAGTTACAATGGCAATCATTAAAAAGTCAGGAAACAGGTGCTGGAGAGGATGTGGAGAAATAGGAACACTTTTACACTGTTGGTGGGACTGTAAACTAGTTCAACTATTGTGGAAGTGGATGTGGCGATTCCTCAGGGATCTAGAACTAGAAATATCATTTGACCTAGCCATCCCATTACTGGGTATATACCCAAAGGACTATAAATCATGCTGCTATAAAGACACATGCACACGTATGTTTATTGCGGCATTATTCATAATAGCAAAGACTTGGAACCAACCCAAATGTCCAACCATGATAGACTGGAATAAGAAAGTGTGGCATATATACACCATGGAATACTATGCAGCCATAAAAATGATGAGTTCATGTCCTTTGTAGGGACACGGATGAAATTGGAAATCATCATTCTCAGTAAACTATCGCAAGAACAAAAAACCAAACACCGCATATTCTCACTCATAGGTGGGAATTGAACAATGAGAACACATGGACACAGGAAGGGGAACATCACACTCTGGGGACAGTTGTGGGGTGGGGGGAGGGGGAAGGGATAGCTTTAGGAGATATACCTAATGCTAAATGACGAGTTAATGGGTGCAGCACACCAGCATGGCACATGCATACATATGTAACTAACCTGCACATTGTGCACATGTACCCTAAAACTTAAAGTATAATAATAATAAAATAAAATAATAAAATAAAAAAATAAAAATATAAATCACAATTACAACAACAACAAAAATACAAAAATCAGCTGGGCGTGATGGCACACATCTATAATCCCAGCTACTCAGGAGGTTGAGGCAGAAGAATGGCTTGAACCCCAGAGGCAGAGGTTGCAGTGAGCCGAGATCACACCACTGCACTCCAGCTTTGGTGACAGAGCAAGACTCCATCTCAAAAAAGAAAAAAATAATAATAGAATTATGTTGGATATGTGGTAAGTGCTCAAAAAATTACAGCCATAATGAGTACCTCCTCCCCCGGATGAAGGTGTGAGTGTTGGTGATGGAAACAGGGCAGCATCTCTCCCAATATCTTGCCTCTGTGCTAAGTTTTGCCGAACCTCAGTCCAGAAGAAAGGAAAATAGAAAATACAG